>NC_000023.11:74886784-75189814 GCF_000001405.40 Homo sapiens
ATTGGAAAAAACTACTTTAAAGTTCATATGGAACCAAAAAAGAGCCCACATCACCAAGTCAATCCTAAGCCAAAAGAACAAAGCTGGAGGCATCACGCTACCTGACTTCAAACTATACTACAAGGCTACAGTAACCAAAACAGCATGGTACTGGTACCAAAACAGAGATATAGACCAATGGAACAGAACAGAGCCCTCAGAAATAATGCCGCGTATGTACAACTATCTGATCTTTGACAAAGCTGACAAAAACAAGCAATGGGGAAAGGATTCCCTATTTAATAAATGGTGCTGGAAAAACTGGCTAGCCAGATGTAGAAAGCTGAAACTGGATCCCTTCCTTACACCTTATACAAAAATTAATTCAAGATGGATTAAAGACTTACAGGTTAGACCTAAAACCATAAAAACCCTAGAAGAAAACCTAGGCATTACCATTCAGGACATAGGCATGGGCAAGGACTTCATGTCGAAAACACCAAAAGCAATGGCAGCAAAAGCCAAAATTGACAAATGGGATCTAATTAAACTAAAGAGCTTCTGCACAGCAAAAGAAACCACCATCAGAGTGAACAGGCAACCTACAGAATGGGAGAAAATTTTTGCAACCTACTCATCTGACAAAGGGCTAATATCCAGAATCTACAATGAACTCAAATTTACAAGAAAAAAACAAACAACCCCATCAAAAAGTGGGCGAAGGATATTAACAGACACTTCTCAAAAGAAGACATTTATTCAGCCAAAAAACACATGAAGAAATGCTCATCATCACTGGCCATCAGAGAAATGCAAATCAAAACCACAATGAGATACCATCTCACACCAGTTAGAATGGCAATCATTAAAAAGTCAGGAAACAACAGGTGCTGGAGAGGATGTGGAGAAATAGGAACACTTTTACACTGTTGGTGGGACTGTAAACTAGTTCAACCATTGTGGAAGTCGGTGTGGTGATTCCTCAGGGATCTAGAACTAGAAACACCATTGACCCAGCCATCCCATTACTGGGTATATACCCAAAGGATTATAAATCATGCTGCTATAAAGACACATGCACACATATGTTTATTGCGGCACTATTCACAATAGCAAAGACTTGGAACCAACCCAAATGTCCAACAATGGTAGACTGGATTAAGAAAATGTGGCACATATACACCATGGAATACTATGCAGCTATAAAAAAGGATGAGTTCATGTCCTTTGTAGGGACATGGATGAAACCATCATTCTCAGCAAACTATCACAAGGACAAAAAACCAAACACGGCATGTTCTCACTCATAGGTGGGAACTGAAGAATGAGAACACATGGACACAGGAAGGGGAACATCACACACCTGGGACTGTTGTGGGGTGGGGGCAGGGGGGAAGGATAGCAGTAGGAGATATACCTAATGCTAAATGAGGATTTAATGGGTGCAGCACACAAACATGGCACATGTATACATATGTAACAAACCTTCACGTTGTGCACATGTACCCTAAAACTTAAAGTATAATAATAATAATAAACAAACAAACAAAAAAAAAAAGAAAATGTGGCACATATACACCATGGAATGCTATGCAGCTATAAAAAAGGATGAGTTCATGTCCCTTGCAGGGACATGGATGAAGCTGGAAAACATCATTCTCAGAAAACTAACACAGGAACAGAAAACCAAACACTGCATGTTCTCACTCATAAGTGGGAGTTGAACAATGAGAAAACATGGACACAGGGAGGGGAACATCACACACCGGGGCATGTTGAGGGGTGAGGGGCTAGGGGAGGGATAGCATTAGGAGAAATACCTAATGTAGATGACGAGTTGATGGGTGCAGCAAACCATCATGGCACGTGTATACCTATGTAACAAACCTGCACCCTCTGCACATGTATCCCAGAATCTAAAGTACAATAAAAAAACTAAAGAAAACAAACAAACAAAAAGAATGATGTCAAACATTTTCAAGTTTTAGCGAACACATATTATTCACATAAACAAATGGATGCAGACATACACTTTTACTCACCTAGACGAATAGTTCATTGTTCCCAAAATTTATATACCAAAAAGAAAATTCCTATATATACTCAGTTTTCAAAAAGTAGCAGGAAAAAAATTTGGCCATGGAACTGATGGTGGAAGAAGTGTAGTGAAACAAATTCATCTAGAAACTTTATTGGTTCTTCCCTTAGTTAGCTATATGGCCTTGAGCTAGAATGGGGTAATAATCCATGCCCTGCTTATATAGTGAGGTGTGGAGAGGATCACTCAAGACAATGGATGTGAAAATACCTTGAAAATTATAAAGCACTATAAAATTATAAAGTGCTTATTATTTCCGTTAATGCCCAGATCTGCAAAATTGAGAGGCAGAAATAAGCTGTGAGGGACAGGATGCAATATTTAATTTCCAAGGCCAAAGTAGAATGGTAGAAACAAAAGGAATGGGATGGGGAAGCAATGTATTGTGCTTTGAAAGTGAAAACCACAGTGAGATGAATGAACACCAAGTACCGATATTAGGTACTAAAGGTTTTCTTTTGTCGCAGCATAGATGTGGCAAGACCAAATGGGGATGGAAAGGCAAATTATAATGAAAATATTGTTTGATTTAAAGGCCTCAAGTCCTCTAAATTTCAGTAATAGTGTTTCGCAAACCTTAGAAAACTTTTTATTTATTTACTTATTTATTTTAATCCTTGTTAAAATCAGATTGAGAAATGTAACACTCAAAGGATTTCAGAATCAGAATGGACCATAAAGAAAGTATGAGTCACTAAGGTGGTTTCTAAGTGGTTCATGGTTGCATGGTGTACAAATACAACTCAAAATAGTAAATCCATCTTCCCAGAGCACTGATAAAATTCTTCCTGAGGTGGCATATCTAGTTATGGGCTCCAAAAAAACCATTAAAAAGAGAGCTAATAAGGACTGTGAAAGTGATAAAAATTCATTAAAGGAATGAGTTAAAAGATCTACACTGGTAGGTCTGTTGTGCACTGAGATATACACTGTGTACATCTCAGAGATAGCTTAATAATAACAGAAAGAGCAATAAGAATGGTTTGGTGAATAGCCATAATCAAAGACACACTGCTCTTCAGTCTGCTTTAGTTTTCTTCTTTTTGTCTGATGTTTCAAGGTTCTTCCTAACCTAATCCTAACCTAATCTGTCTCTCTCTCTCTCTCTCTCTCTCTCTCATTCTCTCTCATTCTCTTTCTCTCTCTCCCTCTCTCTCTCTCTCTCTCTGCCCCTCTTTCTCTCTACCAAATCGGTACTTAGTTTCTTCCTTCTCCCTGTAGCTCAATACAACACACATTCCAGTTCTTGTCCCATGAGCCTCTATCCCCATTTTGGTTGCATTTCCAGTGACTCTGATCCTGTTCTAGGACTTTGATCCTAGACCTACATGTTTCTCTCAACCAACTACAGGAGAGATATGCATTCAATGTAACAAAGATGTTCCTAATAGAGAAAGTATGAGTCATACTTTATAGACAGTATTAAAACTGAATACCTATATACCTTTATTAATTAGGTACAACTTTATTTTGAGGAAAAATCATGAACTAGAAGAGAATGAGGGCCAGAAAAGGCCAAGAAAACCCAATAGCTCTATTTTAAGGCACTTGGAAATTGACAACTGGTCTGAAAGAATATTAAGGAACCCAGGCACAGGCACTCTAAAGAGTCCTAGACAAAAATAAAAAAACTTAAAAAGAGAAACTCCAATATTAAATAATGCAGGTGTGCCCTAAAATGCGCTATGAATTATGTACATATCATCAAACATATTCTTAAATCCTAAGTAGACATTTTAATATTTTTGCAAAAATACTCAACAGAACCCGCAGCCACATGGGACAAATACACCCTCCATGGCTACGCTTGGGCATTTCCAAACTTGGAAACTTAATCTTCAACTCTTTCAGGCCATATGTCAGAGGGACAATGCCTAAATACTGAATGGCCAAGTGTGAAAACACAAGAGATGGTGAGAACTGTGGCCACAGTCATCATTTGAAACTTTGACCCTGCTCACCAGACCAGGGAGTGGCACACGGGAGGAGATCAAGCAGAACAGTGACAAGGCTCCACACTGTCACTGCATCCTGCAGTAGACATGCTGCCACTGCTACAAAGTAAATAAGGGGAGAAAAAAATCCCTTTCTCAAAACAGACCTAGAGTGGGTGTGTGGCTTTGATCTGACAGTCTCATTTTACTTCAGTGCTTTTGGAGAGGATGGAGAGGAGAAAAGGGAGCGAGGAGGAGGTGAGAGAAAAAACAGAGCCATTTTTGTAATTAAATTTCAGAATCTTTTCATTATGCAGTTTCAATTCATTGAAAGTTTTTTTCCTTCCAGCCCCGCTCCTTCCTTAAAACTCTTGCTCCACTTACTACCCTCTCCTGTGTGAACACACACACATACATATGCACACATACAGTGTTGCCCTTGATAAGAATCAAAGCAGGCAGAGCAGCTCCGCCTCAGTACTGGCCTTTGTAACCAGGGATGTAAACAATATTCAGGAGGGTTTTTTTTTTTTTTTAGACTTCAGAACAGTTTAACAAAATGATGCAGTTCCACATTTACTAGAGAAAAGCCTAAAGGAAACTAAAATGCTTAAGAGGTACAAATATTGTGTTTCTGCTACAATCAATAAATAATGCCAAAGTGAAAGAATGGCAGTGCATGGCAACATACTGAATGATGTTGCTTCTGGTAATCTTCCAGTGAAAGGCGTTGTGAAGTTTTATGCTGCTAATCACATTAAATTGACCTCTGAGGGCCAGGACATAATGTCCTGTTATTATTGTTGTATTTGTTTGTTTTGCTATTTAATGGCTCCCATTTTTAAGTTTAACTTAAATTAGGGGGTGGTTCAGAAAAAACCAAGCAACTCAAGGTCTGACTTGATGAATCCATTTAGGAAAGAGTATGAGATTTGGACACAGATGCTTAGGCTTCTGGCCAAGGAGAAATTATTGCTGTGGAACATGAGACTAGAGAGGCCAGGGCTTCAGTTTTGAATTAATCAAGCTATGTTCTCTAAACATTTGATTCAGTCTCTTCTACTTCTCCGACATGGCTCCTTTCCCCTCACCCTTTCACAGCTCAACCTGGAGGGAAGTCATAAAGAATACAACAGAGAAATGTGGGGGATGTTCTCAAGCCGGGCTATTACAAAATATTTGCACAGGGTCAGCAACGCTGGCATTTACAAGGAGACATTTTAAGAAAAGTTTTACCAAGTCCTAAATATGTATTTTTTTTTCTCTCAGAAATTCTATGAAGCAAAATTCGTTGACTTGGCCACAGGCAATAAAGCCTAATTAGTTCTGTAAGGTTGTTTAATGTTTAAGCCTAACTATCATTGGACAGCCCTACAGACCCAAAGAAATATTCTCAATTCAAAGCCTCAATGCAGAGGGACAAAAGCTAAACACAAGATGGAAAGAAATCAATTTCTCTTTAACCTGGGCACCAGGGGAAAACAAAAACCTGACAAGGGAAAAGAGAAATTTGTTACAGGGCTTCCAAGACTTTACAGGGCTCTGGGGAACTAACCAAAGATCTTGCGTAGGTCTAATAAAACATCTAAATTTTTCTTTCTGGGTGCTCAGGTCACTTTACAGATATTATTTTCCTCATTCTCCCCACAGCCTGGTAAAGCAGGAGAGGCACGTATTTTTATACCCGTAAACCCTAATATAGTCTTAGAGGCTTTGCCCTCCTGTCAGTCTGAAAGGTTTCACTACTGAGTTATAGATACATATATACTTATTACTTAAACAGAGTTGAAATGCTGCCTCTAATTCAATTTCTTCATCAAAGCTCAGATCCACAGAACAATGATCAACTTTGCATTCATTTTCCAACATCAGCCACCTCATTTGAATGACACTATTTTAATGACAATAAATGTTGCATGGGCACCATGAAGTGAGAAACATCACCCTGCATTAATACGCCATCTGCCTGCCATCTCCCTAAGATCCCAAGGCATGTTTCAAAGTGAGCATAGGAGAATTTACCCTAATTAAAACCACAGGGGGAATGGAACGTCAGAGGCAGAATTTACTTTCTTTCTACGAATTAGAGTATTTTTGAGGCATCAGACTAGTCTGTCTACCAGACTTGCTGAGAAGGAAAGGATGGAGAGAGAGAGAATATGTATGTATAGAAAAAGAAATGGGCAAGGATGGGGAGCTAGACAGTAGTTTTTAAAAATAAGGATACTGACTTAGGTCTTAAGGAATTAAAGTACTAGAAAATAGACTGATTTCTGTCCCTATAATTTTGTTTCCTCCTACATGCCTACACCCTATGACTGCTCTTCCAGTAGAATCAGAAAATATATTTTAAAAAGCTTTGGAAGAAGTGACACCAAACAGTTAAAGGATGAAGAAACAAGAGTCTAAGTAATCCATAAAGCAGACTACTTCAGATAACAGAAAATTGAAGGTATCTTAAATTATCATTCAAGAAGCTAAGGTACAAGGAGGAAAATGACCTTGTTTTGTTTCCTTCTAGTTTACTGTCTATCTTTGCCACCTGCTTCTTAGTTCTCATGCTGCAGAGCAAATGGAGAGCTGAAAATCTAAAAGAGTTTTCTTGTTTTTCATCCTCACCTTTTTTAAAGACTCAAAGGGTTCCTCTGATGAGGGAGGTAAGTCCTGTACAGACTGTCTCATGCGTGGCCTTAAAGTCACAGCTAAACAAGCCATTTTATTTTGTGTGCAATGTAAAAATTGTTATATTTAATCTTGTTTCCTCAACAAACATAGGAGAGAAAGAAGAGATAAAAGAAGATGAGGTGATTAAGCACCCAAGATGGAGATGGAAAAACTCTATTTAGGCAAGTTGTAAGATTTTAAAAATATTCAGCACACATGTACACACAGTGCATGGATGATGTGGAAGGTTTTTCTGAAAGTCTAATATTGGAATCATAAGACGCTTTGCAGAAATTATAGCATCCTAAATTTATGCAAAGCTGCCCAACCACCAGGATCAGACAGGGCCATTTGGACCTGGAGTCATGACCTGGCTTTCCCATTAACTGAGATACCCCATCTAGGGAAGAGTATGTTAATTCAATTTACAATGAATAATCCTTTTGTGGGTGAGGGAGAATTAAAAAGTTCCAGTTTCCAAAACAGTTGACTTTTTGAAAAATTAAGCAAAATAGACAAACCATTAGCCAGACTAACTGAGATAAAAAGAGCCAGGCTATGGTGGCTCACGCTTGAAATCCCAGAACTTTGGGAGGCTAAGGCAGGCAGATCACTTGAGTCCAGGAGTTCAAGACCAGCCTGGGCCACAGAGTGAAAACCCTTCTCTACTAAAAGTACAAAAAAAAAAATATATCTGGGCATGGTGGCACGCACCTGTAGTCCCAGTTACTTAGGAGGCTGAGGGAGAGGATCACTTGAGCCTGGCAGGCGGAGGCTGCAGTGAGCCAATCACAGCACTGCACTCCAGCCTGGGTGGCAGAGCGAGATTCTGTCAAAAAATAAAATAAAATAAATTAAAAAGAGAGAAGAGCCAAAGAAATACAATCAGAACTGAAAAAGACGGCATTACAACTGATACTTCAGAAATCCAAAGGATCATTAGTAGCTACTATAAGCAACTATTATCAATCTTACTCAGACTATGCCAAAAAATAAAGGAGGAAGGAATACTTCCAAACTTATTCTATGAGGTCAGTAATACCCTGATACTGAAACCAGACAAAATCACATCAAAAAAAGAAAACTACAGGCCAATATCTCTGATAAATATTGATTCAGAAATCCTCAACAAAATACTAGCAAACCAAATTCAACAATACATTAGAAAGATCATTTATCATGACCAAGTGGGATTTATCCCTGGGATGCAAGGATGGTCCAACACTCACAAATCAATCAATGTGATACATCATATCAACAAAATAAAGGATAAAAACAATATGATCATATCAATCTATGCTGAAAAAGCATTTGATAAAATTCAACATTCCTTCATAATAAAAACCCTCAAAGAAGGAACATACCTCAACATAATAAAAGCCATCTATGACAGACACACAGCTAGTATCACACTGAATTGGGAGAAACAGAAAGCCTTTCCTCTAAGATCTGGAACACTACAAGGATGCCCACTGTCATCACTGTTATTCAACATAGTACTGGCAGCCCTAGCTAGAGCAATCAGACAAGAGAAAGATAGAAAGGGCATCCAAATTGGAAAGGAAGAAGTCAAATTATCCTTGTTTGCATATGATATCATCTTATATTTGGAAAAACCAATAGAAAACTGTTAGAAATAGTAAACAAATTCGGTGATGTTTCAGGAGACAAAATCAACATACAAAAAACAATAGCATTTCTATATGCCAACAGTGAACAATCTGAAAAAGAAATCAAAAAGTAGTCCCAATTACAACAGCCACAAATAAAGTTAAATACCTAGGAATTAACCAAATAAGTGAAAGTTCTCTACAATGAAAAATATAAAGCACTGATAAGAGAAATTGAAAAGGACACCAAAAAATGGAAAGATATTCCATGTTTGTGGGTTGGAAGAATCAATATTGTTAAAATGTGCATACTACTCAAACAATTTACAGATTCAATGCAATCTCTATCAAAATATCAATGACATTATTCACAGAAATAGAAAAAAATCCTAAAATGTATATGGAACAACAAAAGACTCAGAATAGCCAAAACCTTCCTAAGCAAAAAGAACAAAACTGGAGGAATCACATTACCTGACTTTAAATTATACTACAGAGGTATAGTAACTAAAAGAGCATGGTACTGGCATAAAAAACAGGTGCATAGACCAATGGAACAGAATAAAAAATCCAGAAACAATTCCACACACCTACAGTGAACTCATTTTCCACAAAGTTGCCAAGAACATCACATGCTCTTACTTATTTGTGGGATTTAAAAATCAAAACAATTGAAGTCATGAAGACAGAGAGTAGAAGGATAGTTACCAGAGGCTGGGAAGGGTAGGGGGTAGGGGTGTGAAGCGGGGGCGGTGGCTACTGTGTAAAAAAAAAAAAAAACATAGAATGAATGAATAAGGCCTAGAAATGAATTTGAATGAGAAAAAAGTTCAAGTTTCCAAAGGACTTAGTTTTTCTCCAGTAAAAGGAATCTTATCTGCTCAATTCATATTCCTCATTCAGTTCATCCCAGAACTTTTAGGTGGCAAAGAAACAAAGTACCTAGGTTCAAATAAGTAAAAGCCTGCCCCGTTTCCCCTTTTTCCATAGCAGATTCAACCACTTAGTCATGCTTCCTAGGTTCTTCTGTCAACTCTCCATCTCAGAGATCCAGAAAGTATTAATGCTAAAATTCAATATAAAGCAATAAGTCCTTCTCCTCAGCAACCACCACTCTCCAAGTAAGGATAGTGTCTGTTCCCACTTACTCCTCCCCATCCTTGTCACCAAAGTTGAAAAGCTCTCAGCCCCTTTGCTGCCTTCTTCCTTATCTAGATACCATACTTCCCCTTCCTCAACCCTGAAATTCAACATTTGCTAACTAAACTTCAGACCACTTTCTCCATCCCACTCTGGCCAGTAGGTAATGCCACAGATATCTGACTGTTTCTTTTCAACTGATGACTCCTTAAAGGCAGGAGGCTCTTTGGGTATGGAAACCATTCATCCCAGAAAGTTGTGACTTGAAATATTCTGTACATACTACAATTTCTGGTTTGCACGAACTGGTTTTAAGATTGAAGGAGTGGTCAGGTAGTAAGAGAGAAAAGTTTTCTAGCTCTTTCTTTTCTCTCCTGCTCAGTTTATAAAGGAATACATGAAAAGGCTCCCACTAATTCCTTACCCTGGGTGTGAATGAGCAGAGACAGCCCAGGAATAAAAACTGGTGCCATCTGCCAAATCTAGTGCAGTCTCTGCAACCTCCAAAATAGAAGAGCAGAGACTGGGCACTGGAGTGTGTATGTGTGACAGGATATTACTGTATAAATTATTTGGGGATTATACACTGTTTGGGATTAGCCACACCTCAGCACCTTTCCATTAGAATTTGATAAGTGCTGAAAAAGACACAAAGCTAGCTGCCTAATATCCGCAGCAAGCAAGGACAATTAGAAAATATTCATTTTTGTTCTGTTGACACTTCTGTTCCCAAAGCTAACCATATGCTTTCTAAGTTCTGGCTTGATCACCCAATTGATATCTACTAGCATACAAAAATGATTTTGATTTCTAGAAACATTTCTTAAGTGTTTGCATTTCAGACTTACCTTTCATATCTCATATTATATTGGGAGGCTAAGTTCGGCTCAAAAGAAAATGTATTGGCAATTCTGATTAATGGTTGAGGGTCTGACAAACAAAAATTAGCCTACACAGTTAAAGTTTAAACCTAATTTTAAGGTTACTGGAGTAAGAGTCAAGAGAACCCAGTCTGTCTAACTCATATGGTGACTTTGGATAAGGCACCTTCTCTGGGCTTTGGCTTTCTGGGCATACCACTAACTGCCCTACCTACCTCCCACATGGGTTAGGAGAGTCAAACTAATAGTTTCCTAAATAGCTTTGAAAAATAGTAAGCTCTGCACAAAATGGAAACATATTTCTCCTCTAATTTCTAAGGGTCTTAATTCTAATATGGGGATAATTTTTTTCATTCAGTGACACAGCCTGGGTACTATTTACTATCATACATAGTTTCTAGTAGAAGAACTACCTTTGATTTCTCTTAAATTTTATAATTGTTGTGGAGGGTAAGGAGAGTGAAAGGAGGTATTTCAGGTAACTGACAAAATGGAATGTTTCCAGAAGAAAGCTGCTAGATGAGTAAGGGGTCAATAAATCTGTCACATGAGGAATGTGTAAAGGAATGAGTGGGAAATGTTTAGTCTGGAGAACACTAGAGGGGGTAATGGTGGATGTTTTTATAAATCTGAAGGGCTGTCACATGCTGGAGAGCTTAAGTTTTTCATGGCAGAAGGCAAAACAAAAATCAATCTCAAAAGAAAAAACAAATTAAACCACATGGTGAAGGTATGTCAAAGGGACACAGGAGTCAACCAAAAAAAGCTCCCAATGGCCAAAGCTGAAACAATTTGAGAAACAAAATAAAGCAGTATTGGACTATAATCCAAAGTTTAAAATAAATATACATGATATACATGTGTACATACTTATATAAATAAATGATTGAACAAATAAATAAATGAGCAGGAACAGATACATCTCCAGTGCACAAGAATTCCAAATAATGTAGGTGGATACTCCATCCTCAAGGAGGTGACACATAACTCCCCAGTCTTAAAGTATGAACTGCCCAAAGTGATTATTTCCAGAGAGTACATTATGGAAATGAGAAAAATGTAACTTTACCCTGGAGAATCCTGATAAACACTACCTTAGCCAGATAATTACAGTCAACATCAACAGTGTTAAAGTCGTGTTGATAGCATGTATCCTTAATACAATGTAATGATAAGGGCACTTTATTCCTGTGGTCTTCTTCAAAACACATTACCCCAGTCTAATCATGAGAAAAACATCAGGTGAATCCCAATTAAGGGACATTCTACAGAATACCTCACCATGAATCCTCAAAGCTATCAAGGTCATCAAAAACAAGGAAAGCCTGAGAAACTGTCACAGTCAAGAGGAGCCTAAGGAGACGTGATAGCTAAATGTCATATGGTATCCTGGATGGGATTTCAGAACAGAAAAAGGACATTAGAAGAAAACTGAAGAAATATAAAGTATAGACTTTAGTTAATTATAATATATCAATATCAGTTCATTAATTGTGACAAACGTACCACACTCTTGGAATATGTTAATAATAGGAGAAGATGGTGTGGGGTATGTGGGAATTTTCTTTATTATCATTAAAATAATTCTGTAAATGTAAAACTGTTCTAAAATAAACTGTTCTATTTTTTAAAAATAGGAAAAATCCTAATGATTCCACAAAAGACTGTTATAACTAATAACAAATTCAGCAAAGTTGCAGGATACAAAATCAGCATCAAAAATTAGTTGCATTTCTATAAACTAACAAGAAACAATCAGAAAAGGAAATGAAGAAATCAATTCCATTTATAGTACCATCACAAACAATACTTAGGAATAAACTTAATCAAGGAGAAGAAAGACTTGTACACAGAAAAGTACAAAATGTTGATGAAAGAAATTAAAGAAGACACTAATAAATGGAAAGACATCCTGCGTTCATGGATTGGAAGACTTAATGTTAAGATGTAAATACCACCAGAGAGACCTTACAAATGTAATGCAATCCCTATCAAAAACCCAATGATGACAAGCCCACAGCTAACATCATACTCATCAATGAAAAGCTGAAATACTTTCCTCGACAATCAGGAACAAGACAAGGACGCCCACTCTCACTACTTCTTTTCAACATAGTACTGGAAGTTCTAGCCAGAAAAATTAGGCAAAAGAAAGAAATAAAAGGCATCAAATAGGAAAGAAAGAAGTTAAATTGTCTCTCTTTGCTGATGACATGATCTTATATATACAAAACCCTAAAGATCGTCCCCCAAAAAAAACTGTTAGAACTGATCAATGAATTCAGTGAAGCTGCAGGACACAAAATCAACATACAAAAACCAGTTGTATTCCTATACACTAATAATGGACTACCCAAGAAAGAAATTAAGAAAACAATTCTGTTTATGATAGCATCAAAAACAATAAAATAAGTTAAGAATAAATTTAACCAAGGAGGTGAAAGATCTGTACATGGAAAACTATAATACACTGATGAAACAAATGGAAGAAAACACAAATAAATAGGAAGATATCCCATGTTCATGGATTAGAATAATTAATGTTGTTAAAATGTCCATACTACCCAAAGTGATCTACAGATTTAATGCAATCCCTACCAAAATTCTGATGACATTTTTCACAGAAATAGAAAAATACAATCCTAAAACTCACATGGAACCACAAAAGACCCTGAATAGCCAGAGTAATCTTGGGGGGAAAGAACAAAGCACAGGCAGCCAAAGAAAAAATAGATAAATTGGAGTATATAAAAGTCTAAGACTTCTGTGCATTGAACAACATTATTGTGAAATAACATTGTAAAAGGGCAATGTAGAAAATGAAAGAAAATACTTGCAAATCATATATCTGGTAAAGTATTAATATCTAGAATATATAAAGAGCTCCTATAACTCAATAACAAAAAACCTAACACCCTAAGTTTTAAAATGAGCAAAGGAGTCAAATAGACATTTCTCCAAAGAAGATATATGAATGGCAAATAAGCACAAGAGCAGATACTCAACATCTCTAGTTATTAGGGAAATGTACATCAAAACCACAATAAGATATCACCTTACACCCATTAGGATGGCTACTATTGAAAAAACAGGGCCAGGCGCGGTGGCTCACGCCTGTAATCCCAGCACTTTGGGAGGGTGAGGCAGGCGGATCACGAGGTCAGGAGATCAAGACCAGCCTGGACAACATGGTGAAAATCCCGTCTCTACTAAAATACAAAAAATTAGACGGGTGTGGTGGTGCATGCCTGTAGTCCCAGCTACTCGGGAGGCTGAGGCAGGGGAATCGCTTCAACCCAGGAGGTGGAGGTTGCAGTGGGCCAAGATCATGCCACTGCACTCCAGCCTGGCAACAGAGTGAGACTCCGTCTCAAAAAAAAAAAAAAAAAGAAAAAGAAAAAGAAAAAGGAAAAACAGAAAACAACAAATGTTGGTGAGGATCTGAAAAAATGGAAACCCTTGTGTACTACTGGTGGGAAGGTAAAATGGTGTAACCACAATGGAAAGCAGTGTGGAAATTCTTCACAAGATTAAAAATAGTCACCATATGACCCAACAATCCCACTTCTGGGTATATACTCAAAATTATTGAAGGCAGGGTCTTGAAGAGATATTTGTACACCCATTGTCATTCACAATAGCCAAAAGGTGAAAGGAAATCAAGTATCCATTGATGGATGAATGGATAAACAAAATGTGGTATATATGCACAATAGAATATTATTCAGCCTAAAAAGAAGTAAATTCTGACACATGCTACAACATGGATGAAACTGAAGAACATTATGGTGATGAACATAAGCCAGTTACAAAAAGACAAATACTGTATGATTCCATTTACATGAGGTATTTAGAGTCATCAAATCCATAGGGATAGAAAATAGAATGCTGGCTGCCAGGGGCTGGGGAGAAGGGAAAATAGGGAGCTGTTGTTTAATGGGTACAGAGTTTCAGTATCACAAGATGAAAAGAATTCTGGAGATGGATGGTGGTGATGGTTGCATAACAGTGTGAATGAATTTAATTCCACACAACTGTACACTTAAAAGTGGTTAAGATGGTAAATTTTATGTGTATTTTACCACAATAAAAATAGTAAAAGAAAATATAAAGAATGGGCTTTCTGGCATGGATTGCCTTTAGAGGTAGCTGCCTGTCTATGGATATTTCTAGGCAAGATAATCTAACAAAAGTAATTAATGTTTCAGATAAAGATGGTTTAGATGATCTCCTAGGTTGTTTCCTGGAGGTAGAAAACAATTGCAGCTAAGATGTCAATGTGAGGTTTAATGATAAACATATAAATAGCCAGGATGGTAGTGCTTCTAAATTTTGTTGTAATTTGTTGCACAAAGCACCTGTGAGGCACAACTTTCACCACTTGTTTTCTCCTCACAGTTAGAAATGGTACAGTTGCTGGTTTACTTGGTTCCATTATACATCTTTCAGTTCCAGAGAATTCTGCTGGACAAAGTGTTACATGTGCAATTTACTACTGAGGCATGCGCTGTTTTATGCCTTGCCATAGAAATAGTCCTGTGCACATATATCTCCCTAATAAAATATAGTTTTCCTGAAATGGGGGCTGTTCTACTAACCCACTCCTCCATTGTTACTCCTACCCCTTCCCTTCTCCCAGCTATGATAGCATCTCACACTTAGTAGGCACTCCCTAAGTACATTTTATCTACAAATGACTTACAGCTCCAAATAAATGGAGAGAGCTCCTTTAATACCTCTACCAGAAATTGAAGTCCTGTCTCAAATCTCAAGGCAGTTCCAAACCACCATATGTGCCTTTAATATATATTAAAGACCACTGCCAAAAGTATCATTCAGGACATTTTTTAAAATTAATCATGGATGAGTCAGATTTATAGCTCAGAAATGTCGTAGGGGAAACCAAGTGAAGGGATGCAAACTGGCTCCCAGTGGGATGAGTTTTAATCCCAGCTCAAAGACTAACTTTCTATTTGGCCAAAATTTGCCTTACATTCTGACTCAAAAATAGGGAAGAGGAGTTAACTAGATCAGTAGTTTCCAACCTGAGGACCCTGGTCATCTTAACAAAAAAAAGGTAATAAATGGGATCCTCAAACCATTTTCAGTATTTCAGAACTTTAAAGAAAATGGAGAGTTTTTTCATACAGCTGCCCCAGTTAGCTAAATGTTTTTACCTTTCCCTGGAATTATAGCAACCAAGCAGAATAACATTGGCTCTCTGTGCTGATCAGCTCTGATGCATGTATGTTTATGTGTGTGTATATATATACATATATATGTATATATATTACAGTTTTATGTATGCATATGTATAGGAACACAGAAAAGCTATTATTTAATAAGTGCAGTTTTCAGGAGAAAAAACAACTCTTCAAAGTTGGGTCTTACAAAAAAAGGTAACAGAAGGATTGGGGAGGGTACAAAAAGACTGGGAAGTGCCTATCTAGCTTATCTGTAAATGAGGTCCATTGTAGCTCTTCTGGGCTCATGTATCTCCTTGCCCCTCTTGTCTTTTCCAGTGAGGACTGCAATCTTCACTTACCTGAGACACTGGAAACAAATGAATAATGGACTTCTTGGCCTGCCATCCTCCTGGGTCTGAGGACAGTTGTGAGCTTTCTGTAGTGCCCCTCGCTTACCCCTTTCACCCATGCATTTGCATTCAGACCTGTTTAGGTGTGGGCCTTTGGATAGGCAAAAAATGGCAAGGTTTCCCATAGCCCAACTGGCCAGCATGCAGGCAAGTTCTCTGGAGGTTAGATTGCAGTAAGTGCCACTTCACATTTCCCAAAGCCTGTGTGATAGGTGTGGCAGGCTCAGACTCCCCACAGAGAAGTTGTCTGCCCAGTTTGAAGGGTAAATGCTACTGCAGTGCCTAAGGCCACTCCTTATTAAGGGCAGCTTTAGCTCAGCTGCCTTTGCAGGAAGGAGGGAAAATAGATGTGGAAAGGAGCTCCCCTGTATTGAAACTTGAATCTGGAGGTAAACACAGCTGGGACTTGTTTCAACATTGGTTTCTACAACCTGGAAGCAAGAGCACCCTATGGCCTAGCAAATACACGTTCACTGAGGCTTCACTGCCTATTTCTAAACGTTAATCAACTGCAGAAATCATTAAGAAGAAAATCATTTGGCAGGGGAAAAGGTTTCTTTATAGAGGAATTTGTTCAATTATTTCAATTCAAAACCTTGAACATTCCCAGTCCTGGAGTCCTCACTGATTCTCAGGCATACACACACACACACACACACACACACACACACACACACACACACACACACACACACACACAGACCTGAGCAAGTTTGGGTCATAGATACAGCTGGCCACTAGTGTGACTTGTGGCTTTCTAGCCCTGTGAGAAAGAATAGAGCCTGGAATTGAAAAATTGAAACTGGCAAGCACTTCAGAACAACTACTGCAAATTGGTATTTGGCCAATGCAAAGAGAATCAAAGGTGGCAAGGGCAAGCTAGCAATGAATTAAACTGATTAAAGCAGAAGTACAGTGAGCTTCAGCAGGCTAAGGCCCAGCTTTCAAGACCCAAGACCAAGAATAAGGGTGTTTTCATTTTTTATTTGTTAATCTCAGCATCGTTACTTTTTTGCTGTGTGACTTTGAGCGAGCAGGTTAATCTCTCATTGCTTCACTGTTTCAAACATGTTGAACTGACTAGAATAATAAACCGTCACTTTCCTTTCTCCCAGCAAGCCTTCATAGTTAAATGCACTTTTGCACTATTACAATTAAACAATGCAACCAAAACTGTAGGCAACAATTCTAATCGTGTGTGTGTGTGTGTGTGTGTGTGTGTGTGTGTGTGTGTGAAGTGGTGTGGCTTTGTTGGGAATGGATGTCTTGCCTCTCATAGTAAGTGCTGAAGAAGTTTTAATGACTGTCACTGTCTTTGTGCTCAGGCTCTGGAAAAATTGAGCACCCCACCTCACTCCTCACTCCATGGACTGGGGAAACTACCACAGTCTTTTCCTCAGGGTCAACTTCCATGACCCAGGTAGCTCCAGAATTGGCTCCCTTTGGGCCCCAAGGGCAACACTTGCCCTTGCCTTGTAAGTGGAGGGGAGTATATTAGAGTGACCCTTGGTCACACCCTAGGCCATTTGAGAGAGTAATGAAACTTCTCTGAATGAATACTTTAGTAGCAGGAATCCTAGAAATGTCTACCTAGATCTTATTGTTATTGTTGTTTTGTTTTAGAAGAAAAAGATCTAGCCAAAGGACAGGAACAAACTTGCTGGAAAATATCCCACGCCATTGTTTTCCTCTCTACACAATTCCCTGCCTATACCATTTTAAATGGCTAAATAGCAAATATGTGCCTTAAAAATATTTACTGTCAAGATTTCAGTGTAGAAGTCTGCTTTTTGAAAAAGATGTGCATTATGACATTATAAAGTTAAGTGGAAAAAAGCAAGATAGGGTACAATCAAAGAAACAAAAGTTGTACAAGAAAAAAGATCAGAAGTTCAAAATAGGAAAATGGACAATTCTTGATATCTTCATTTTTCTTACTCTTCTGTATTTCCCATGCTTTATTAAAATGGATAATTTTTACGATGAAAAATTGCAGTTCTAGGTTTCCTTTCCCTCTCTCCCTCTCTCTCTCTCCCCACCGCTCTTTTTTTCCTTGGAAACGTTTCAAGTACAAGACAGGGATCCAGAAATCTCGAGTACAATATTCAATGAATGTGTGCCCTTGTTAAGTCATTTTCCTTCTCTGGGCCTCTGTTTTACTACTTCATGGAATGGGGTAACAGACAGGCAAGGAAGTGTCCCTAGAGACTTCCAATTTTGCTCTTCAGTATTTTACAGGCAGAACCACTAGGTTAGCCCAGCTGCCTAGAACCTTTGCAAATCAAGTCTACAGTAGGACACTGAGCTCTCTGGTCCTAAGAGCCATCAATTGGTTGGATTTTCCAACTTTCCTGTAATGTGGTTACATATTATTTTTATCATAAAAATATGAAAAAGTAATGTACATGTCATCAGCTCCAGGGTACAGTTTGAGTAGAAAAGGGGAATGTAAAAAAGAGAATAGAATAAATTCCAAAACAAGATATTGGGTAAAAACAAAACAAAACAAAACAAAAAAACTTGTTGCAGAATGACACATACATTAAGGTATTACTTACATAAATTTTAAAAACACACAGACAAGCTCTATATATTATTTATGGGAAGAGGGGAGAGGAGAGACATACTTTCATGCAAAAGTATAAAACAAAATGGAAGAATACATACCAAGCTTATCTTAGTGCTTGCTTCTGAAAATGAATGGAGAGGAATGTGACTGAAAATAGGGGATATAATTTAACTTGTCTGTAATGTTTTATTTCTCCAAGTAGAGATCCAAGTATTTCTTATATTATTCCTAGTCTTTTCAATACTTTTATAATTATTCAAAATAAAGACAAACGTCGGGCACAGTGGCTCACACCTGTAATCTTAGCACTTTGGGAGACCAAAGCGGTCAGATCACTTGAGATCAGGAGTTCGAGACCAGCCTGGCCAACATGGTAGAACCCCGTCTCTGCTAAAAATACAAAGATTTGCCAGGCATCATGGCGGGTGCCTGTAATCCCAGCTACTTGGGAGGTTGAGGAATGAGAATTGCTTGAACTCAGGAGTTGGAGGCTGCAATGAGCCCAGACTGCACCACTGCACTCCAGCCTGGGCAACAGAGCGAGACTCCATCTGTCTCAAAAACAAAACAAAACAAAAAACAAAAACAAAAATAAAGACACAAATAATTTCTAAAAACAAAACGTTGAACTATTTCTTTTCCCTATTTTTCAATATTTGTGAAATTTTCATGGATTCTTTTGATAAATGATAAATGAATTTATTCTTAAAATGAGAGAAATAGGAAAAAAAAGGCTGGGCAGGGTGGCTCATGCCTGTAATCCCAGCACTTTGGGAGGCTGACGTGGAAGGATTGTTTGAGCCTAGGAGTTTAAGACCAGCCTGGGCAAGATGACGAGACTCTGTCTCTACACAATTTTTTTTTTAAATTAGCCAGGCATGGTGGCACACGCCTGTAATGCCAGCTACTTGGGAGGCTGAGGCAGGAGGATCCCTTGAGCCCAGGAATTCAAGGCTGCAGTAAACTGTGTTTGTGCCATTGTACTCCAGCTTGGGTGACAGAGCAAGACCCCATCTCTTAAAAAAAAAAAAAGGAAAAGAAAAGAGAAATGAAAGAACGGGTAAGAGGCTGTGGACTGGGATAAGATAGAAGCTCTGGGTGCCTGGGGACCTTTTTGTTCCAAGGAAATGAACAAAATCCTGTTCTAGACCATAAGCCAGGAATTTAACAAGTGGACCTATTACAAGATATGGGTTCCTGGGTGTCCCAGACTTCACCCTCCACCATGTGTTTTTAAGCTCTTCTCTGGTTCATTTATTTTCTCCGGACAGAAATTTCCAGTGAGTCTCCTCCAACTGCCTAGCCTTTCAGGGACAAATTTTCCATCTTGGCTTCCAAGGCGGCTGTTATAACACCACAAATCACCTTCTGCCGTCCCTTCTTGAGCCAAATTCCTACTGGTTTCCAGGAATCATATGGGGAATATGGTTCTCTGAATTTATTCCCTCACAGTACTTAGCTTGCATTTCTTAAGCTAAATATCTTACTACAAAAGCTGAACTTGCTGAAAATAAAGCTTTTCATTTTTCCCCTACTGCCCTCTCCCAAGATAAATCCCTGTCACAGTCATAAATGCCATGTTTATCCTCCAACTCCAAAGAAATCTCAGGCATCCTAGCCTCTTTGCTGCATATTAATTGATCATTGAATGTATTTGCTTTCATCAACTCACTGTCTGATTTCCCCCATCATACCTTTGTCCAGTCCTTTTTCCCCAGCCCTAATCTACAGACCCTCCTTGCTTTTTCAGGGCACCTTATAATATGATGTTTTTGAATGTCTCTTCTCACTTTGACCCCCTGCCACACCCAGGAGGCACAGCCTCTCTTTCCTGATGTAACTGAAGTGCTGGTTCCAGACTTTACTCTCTAAGGGTAGCAATGACTTTGCATCTAGCCACACAATACACCAGGAAAACAGCTACAGTCAAACAAGATATGAATCCCGAGGAACATCAAGGGAAAAGTTGAAGGCCCTGCTGATGAGTGACAGGAGGTAGTTTGGGAAGGTGGTCAGGTGAGGGGAGAGTGTTAAATGAAACAGATAAGTAAAGCCCTTGTGTGTTCAGAAGCAAGAGCACCCCCCCCCCCGCCCCTTACCTCACTGTTCAAAGAGACCACTAATAGGGCAAGCTAAGGGAAGGGATCATGGCCTGGGCCTGTAATCATCACTCTGTACCTGATAGAGAGTGTAGTTGTGTCCAACTCACTTTAAAGTGTCTGAGACTTAATTCCTCCACCTGGAAGATGTTGCCACCATAGAAACTGTTACTGTGGGAAACGACCTTAGAGATCATCATCTCTAGACCAAGCCTCCATTTCACAATTTGAAAATTCTGAGGCCCAGAGAGAGAGAAAAGCTTGTCCTACATGACTATCAATATTTACCTTTCCTAAGTCCATGAAGATGTTTGTGAGGCCAAATGAAATAAAATATAGGAGTCCTTTGAGTCCTTTAGAAGGAGCTATAGGATGATCAGGTATTATTATTGGCAGCCTAAATGCCTATGGTCCCTTAACATCAATCTGTCGCCTGAATCAAAAAACACCAGTATATGATTTTACTTCCTCAGGACCACTGAACAAACAACTGTCTCCCTCAGCTGGCCATCTCAACAACCAATGGAAATGGCAGCTCTGACCTATCATCCACTGCTCCTTCTCCCACCTCAGGCTGTCTCAGCTGCTTGAGCACACCCTCTACCTGAGGATCTGGAAACAGGCTGCTTCCCTCGGCAAACATCCTCCTCTGGGCCCCTTGTGGTCACTACTACCTTATACCATGTGACACCTGGTATTTCAGTGCCATAAGTAGATGACATGGAACAGAGCCTCCTAGAGGGTTATTGGGAGTGGGGCCTAGAGCCATACAGATCAGAGAAAGGCTGAGGAAACCCAAGAGGACAGTCCAAAAGGCAAAGTAAAGAGCATACCTAGGAGCACACTTTTCCTTTCAGTGCATATTATGCCAAAATAGGCTTTCATTTCAAAGTGTAATCTGAGAGTGCTCTTGTCTAGTATATGGCCTGGTTGTCTGAGGCAGGCCTGTGGATTCTTCAGTCTAATAAACTATAAACTGAATTTTCAGAAAACAAAAGGAATTCCATTCCTGGTGTTAACTACATCCACTCTGGCCTTCCCTTAACCAATTCTACTCAGTGCTGGAAGATATTGAAGTCATATCTAAGGTTATAATATTAAAGGTGAAAATCAAAGGGAAGAGATTAATTCACTTACCTGCTTTTCAACTTTCAGTGATTGTCTAGAAGTATCCTGGCCTTAATGAATCACAAATCATGGCAGTCAGCAATGTCATGGCATCCCCACTATTTCGACAATAAACAAATGGGTTTTTCTGTTCATTCAGGTGCTAAATCCATGTAAGTATAGCTAACAAAGCATTACTGAATTAGGGAGAAAAATGTGCACATGCACGTGCACACACACACACACACAACCACCCACCCCACAGTGGCTGATATGGTTTGGCTCTGTGTCCCCACCAAATCTCATCTTGAATTATACTCCCATAATTCCCACATGTTGTGGGAGGGACTCAGTGGGAGATAATTTGAATCATGGGGGCAGTTTCCCCCATACCGTTGTTGTGGTAGTGAATAAGTTTCATGAGATCCAATGGTTTTATCAGGGGTCTCCACTTTTGCATCTCCCTCATTTTCTCTTGCCACCACCATTTAAGAAGTGCCTTTCACCTCCCGCCATGATTCTGAGGCCTCCCCAGCCATGTGGAACTGTAAGTCCAATTAAACTTCTTTTTCTTCCCATTCTCGGGTATGTCTTTATCAGCAGCATGAAAATGGACCAATACAGTAAATTGGTACCAGCAGAGTGGGGCATTGCTGAAAAGATACCTGAAAATGTGGAAGTGACTTTGGAACTGGGTATCAGGCAGAGGTTGGCACAGTTTGGAGGGCTCAGAAAAAGGAAAATGTGGGAAAGTTTGGAACCTCCTAGAGACTTGTTGAATGGCTTTGACAAAAATGCTGACAGTGATATGAACAATAAGGTCCAGGCTGAGGTGGTCTCAGATGGAGATGAGGAACTTGTTAGGAACTGGAGCAAAGGTGACCCTTGTTATGTTTTAGCAAAGAGACTGGTGGCATTTTGCCCCTGCCCTAGAGATTTGTGGAACTTTGAACTTGAGCAAAATGATTTAGGGTATCTGGTGGAATAAATTTCTAAGCAGCAAGGCATTCAAAAGGTGACTTGGGTGCTGTTAAAAGCATTCCCTTTTATAAGGGAAACAGAGCATAAACGTTCAGATAATTTGTAGCCTGATGATGCAGTAAAAAAGAAAAACCCACTTTTTGAAGAGAAATTCAAGCTGGCTGCAGAAATTTGCATAAGTAACAAGGAGCCACATGTTAATCCCCAAGACAATGGGGAAAATGTCTCCAGGGCATATCACAGGTCTTCATGGCAGCCTCTCCCATCATAGACACAGGAGCCTAAGAGGAAAAAATGGTTTTGTGGGATAGGCCCAAGGTCTCCATGCTGTGTGCAGCCTAGGAATTTGGTGCCTTGTGTCTCAGCTGCTCCAGCTGTTGCTAAAAGGGGCCAACGTACAGCTCGGCCCATGGTTTCAGAGGGTACAAGCCCCAAACCTTGGCAGCTTCCACGTGGTGTTGAGCCTGTGGGTGCACAGGTGTCAAGAATTGAGGTTTGGGAACCTCCACCTAGATTTCAGAAGATGCATGGAAATGCTGGATGCCCAGGCAAAAGTTTGCTGCAGGGGTGGAGCCCTCACGGAGAACCTCTGCTAGGGCAGTGCAGAAGAAAAATGTGGGGTTAGAGCCCCCACACAGAGTCCCTACTGGGGCACTGCCTAGTGGAGCTGTGAGAAGAGGCCCACCATCCTCCAGACCCAGAATGGTAGATCCACTGAAAGCTTGCACCATGTGCCAGGAAAATCCACACTCAGTGCCAGCCTGTGAAAGCAGCCAGCAGGGGTGCCATACCCTGCAAAGCCACAGAGGTGGAGCTGCCCAAGACTATGGGAACCTACCTCTTGCATCAGCGTGACCTGGACATGAGATATGGAGTCAAAGGAGATCATTTTGCAGCTTTAGAATTTGACTGCCATGCTGGATTTTGGACTTGCATGGGCCCTGTAACCCCTTTGTTTTGGCCAATTTCTCCCATTTGGACAGATGTATTTACCCAATACCTGTACCCCCATTGTATCTGGGAAGTAACTAGCTTGCTTTTGACTTTACAGGCTCATAGATGGAAGGGACTTGCCTTGTCTTAGATGAGGCTTTGGACTGTGCACTTTTGGGTTAATACTGAAATGAGTTAAGACTTTGGGAGACTGTTGGGAAGGCGTGTTTGGTTTTGAAATGTGAGTACATAAGATTTGGAGGGGCCAGGGATGGAATGTTATGGTTTGGCTCTGTGTGCCCACCCAAATCTCATCTTGAATAGTATTCCCATCATTCCCTCATGCTGTGGGAGGGACCTTGTCAGAGATAATTTGAATCACGGGGGCAGTTTCCCCCATACTGTTGTGGTGGTAGTGAATAAGTCTTGCAAGATCTGACGGTTTTATCAAGGGTTTCTGCTTTTGCATCTCCCTCATTCTCCCTTGCTGCAACCATGTAAGTAGTGCCTTTCACCTCCCACCATGATTCTGAGGCCTCCCCAGCCATGTGGAATTGTAAGTCTAATTAAACCTCTTTTTCTTCCCAGGTATGTCTTTATCAGCAGCGTGAAAACAAACTAATACTGTGGCTTATAGGAAAATGGTAAGATCAATGGCAAGAAAAGGTGATTCCAGGTTCTCTTCTTAGATTTGTATAAGAGTATCCTGACCCTTTGGCCCCTCAGCACAACTAGTGACCACTGTCTTCAAAAGTAAGTGGCAGCCGGATGTGGTGGCTCACACCTGTAATCCCAGCACTTTGGGAGGCCAAGGCGGGAAGATCACCTGAAGTCAGGAGTTTGAGACCAGCCTTGACAACATGGTGAAACCCTGTCTCTACTAAAAATACAAAAATTAGCCAGGGGTTGTGGCGGGTGCCTGTAATCCCAGCTACTCAGGAGGCTGAGGCAGGAGAATCACTTGAACCCGGGAAGTGGAGGTTGCAGTGAGCTGAGATCATGCCACTACACAGAGCAAGACTCCTTCTCAAAGAAAAAAAAGTAAGTGGCATATTTGGAGCCTTCTTAAAAGACAAAGTGACAAATTGGGATTTTGCTCCCATGATACCATCTCCATATCTCTGAGTAGCAGACCAGCAACACTCACCTCCTCCCCACATATACACATACTGGAAGGATCTGGGTGAGCCATAGTCTAGGGTTTTAAAACCAACACCTTGGCTTTGGGTTATAAAGCATGTTTATTTTCTCTTTACAGCCTAACTCTGAAACTGCTTCTTTCTCAAATGAGTGTGTATTTTTGTTTCATTTTAAGTCAAACGACATAGATGTGAAAAATCCCACTATAGCCCTGGCTCAATTCCCTTTTCTTTCACCTATTCAGCCAAGTGGATTTGACTGTGTTATGAAATATCTTAACATGTCAAAGCCACAGCTTTGCACATACAGGTCTTGCTAAGGGAAAAGGTCATGTGACCTGTATACTATACAAACAATACATATTCAATAGACACTAGGTATTCCTTTTCCCTTGCCAAGAGATACAGTACACAGGCAGTCCATAAATACAAGCACATTAGGATGTATACACACATAGAGCCAGTAAGGGAAAATATAACGAACTGCCCCAAGGGGAGATTGAAAACACTGAATCTACATTAAGTACACCCCCACTAATCTAAGCAAAGAGAGACTTGAGAAGGCAACAGTTATTTCAGTGTACAAAGAAGCTGTGTAACAGGGTCCACTAACTCTTTGGGACTTGGACAAAAAGTGCCAACAAGTCAACACAGAGCTCAGTGAAGGACAGAGTTCTTACATAAATGCTCCCCACCTGGCTAAGCATGCTGGAAGTCTCAAGGATTAGAACATTAAGGCCACCAAGATGCCAAAGAAACCCTAGATCCTATAAACTAAATGAATACCCTTTTCACAACTCACTCTTTTCTGTTAACGTTTCCTCAATCAATGGTTACCTCAGTCATGGAGGTCAAGTATGTTGCTACAAATAAGCAAACTAACTGCCATCTAATAGGGAAGACTTTCCCTCTACTCAAATAGAGTGGTACTAGGATCTGCAGCATGCCACACCATGTCTTTTACAATGGCTGAGAGGACAAAACTTAGTTAATACTATGGATACTAACTCTGCCCTACTGGATCCATATTAACCAGATGAGTTCTCTGTGCCCATATTTCTCTAGATAGAACTCACAGCACCTCAGGTTTTGGAACCAAACCCTAGCCATGGACCTCAGATACAATAACTAGATCCTTGTCTTATTCCATCTGTGCCAGTTTTCCCAAACCCCAATTCCTGTAGTGCCAAGCTCTTTTACTGCTCCCTCCCCCAACCTCAGTCTTCCTAGAGCAGTGACAGAAATGCTCTACATATATGTTATCCAATATGGTAGCCACTAACCATACATGGCTACCAAGCACTTGAAATGTGGCTGAATTCCAACCCCTAACAAGCAATAATGAGAAGTCCTGCCCTCCAACTGTCAACAAGCAAGCAGACTTCTACTACCATCTGGCAGTAACAAGACAGCAACTCCCTTCCCCAGGAATTGGAGGTCCTGGAGCTAGAGCAGTGCCAGAGAAAGCCAGATAAAACAGAAAGTTTAAATAAGATCCAAAGTCTCATGACATACCACAAAACGTATATATTTCTATAAAAATCACTTATCATACCAATGACCAGAAAGATCTCAAACTGAATGAAAAAAGGCAATTGATAGGTGGCAAAACCAGGATGAAAGAGATATTAGAATTATCTGACAAAGATTTTAAACCAGCCATCACAAAAATGTTTCAATAAGTAATTAGAAACACTCTTGTAACAAACGAAAAATAGAAAGTCTCATAAATATAATAATCAAAACATAAAAACTCAATGTATGGTCTCTACAACAGAATGAAGAAGATGGAGAAAAGAATCACTTAACTTGAAAATATAATGATAGAAACTATCTAGTCTGAACAACAGAGAAAAAATAGACGAGAAAAATGAACAGGCCTCGGGGACCTGTAGAACTACAAAAACAAGATCTAAGTTTTCTCTCATCAGAAGAAACCATGAAGAATAGAAGGCAGGACAGAAACATTATTTGAAGGAATAATACTTGAAAACTTCCAAAACTTGGCAAAAGACATAAACCTTCAGACATAAGAAGCTTAGCATATACCAAACCAGATGAACCCAAAGAAATTTTGCCAAGGCACATCATAGTCAAACTTCTAAAGACTAAAGAAAAAAAAAAAAACCTTAAAAGCAGCAAGAGAGAAATGACACCCTAACTACAAGTGTAAAACAATTCAAATGAAAGCAGATTTCTCATCAGAACCCATGAAGACCAGAAAGAAATGGCACATTTTTCAAATGCTTTCAGGAAACAACAACAACCTGTCAACCAGGATTTCTACATCAGGTGAAAATATCCTTCAGGAATGAATGGGAAATCAATAAATTCTCAGAAGAAGGAAAACTAAGATAATTTGTTGCTAGCAAACCTGCATTAAAAGAATAAGTAAAGGAAGATCTCTAACAGAAAAAAAATGTAAAAGAAGAAATCTAGAAACCTCAGAAAGAAACAACAACAGAAAGAGTAAAAGGGTAAATATAATTGACTTTGCTTCTCCCATTGGGTTTCTCAATTATGTTTGAGGGTTGAAGCAAAAATTGTAGCATTGTCTAATGTAGTTCTAGATATATGTAGAGAAAGTAAGGCAATTATAAGTGGGGAAGGTTAAAGGAACTTAAAGAGGGGTAAGGTTTCTATAATTTACTCAAACAGGTAAAATGTTGATACTAGTAGACTATAATAAGTTATGTACTTACAGACACTTTGGAAAATAGATTTTCAGTTTCTGAAAAAACTGCAAAATCAGTTTTTAGTTTAAAAAACTAAAACATACATTTACCATACAATGCAGCAATTGCACTCCTGGGAGCTTTTCCCAGAGAAATGAAAACTTATGTTCACACAAAAATGCTAGGCCAGGTGCAGTGGCTCATGCCTGTAATCCCAGCACTGTAATTCCAACTCTGTAATCAGAGGCTAAGGCAGGTGGATCACTTGAGGTCAGGAGTTTAAGACCAGCCTGGCCAACATGGTGAAACCTATCCCTACTAAAAATACAAAAATTAGAAAAATTGACCAGGCATGGTGGCATGCGCCTGTAGTCCCAGCTACTCGGGAGGCTGAGGTAGGAGAACTACTTGAACCTGGGAGGTGGAGATTGCAGTGGGCCGAGATTGTGCCACTGCACTCCAGCCTGGGCAACAGAGAAAGTCTCCGCCCCACTCAAACAAACAAACAAACAAAACCAACCAACCAAACAAAAAGCACCTGTATGCTAATGTTCATAGCAGTTTTATTTGTAATAACCAAAAACTCCAGACAACCAAAATTTCTCCCTACAGGTGAATGATTAAATAAATTGTGATACACTAATACCATGTAATACTGTTCAACAGTAAAAAGAAATGAATTGTTAATGCCCAAAACAACTGGAATAGATCTCAGGGCATTACGCTGAGTGAAAAAAGCCAACCCCCAAAAGTCACATACTCAATGATTCCATTTATATAAAAATCTTGAAATGATAAAACTTTAGATATGGAAAATATATTGGTGATTGCAAGTTTGATATGGCAAAGGAGTGGGGGTGAATTACAAAGACTATAAAGGTGTAGCACAAAAGAGATCTCTAGCGGTGATGAAATAATATTTTATCTTGATTGTGATGGTGGATACACAAATATACATGTGTGCTGGCTGGGCACGCTGGCTTACACCTGTAATCCAAGCAATTTGGGAGGCCAAGGCAGGAGGATTTCTTGAGTCCAGGAGTTCAAGATCAGCCTGGGCAACACAGTAAAACCATGTTTCTACAAAACTAAAAATAAATAAAAAACACAAATATACACATGTGATAAAGTGATACAGAACTACACAGAACTATTATGCAAAATGTAACCATTGGGGCATTGGGAGAAGGATACACAGGGCCTCTCTGTCCTTGCAACTTCCAGTGATTCTATAATTATTCCAAAATAAAAAGTAACAACAAAAAAGTCAAGTCACTGTGGTAGGCAGAATAAAGGCCTTCAAAGATGTTCACATCCTACTCCTAGAACCTGTGAATATGTTAGGTTACATGGCACAAGAGGAATTAAAATTGCAGATAGAATTATGGTTGAAAATCAACAAATCTTGGGATGGAAATATTATCCCAGATTATCCATCCAGATAGACCAAATATAAGTAGAGGGGTCATTATAAACAGAAGAGGGAGGTAGAAGAGTGAGAGTCAGAAAAGGAAATGTAATGATGGAAGCAAGATTTAAGTGATGCAGTGTGAGGAAACAATCTCCCATCTCTGGCTTGAATATGGAAGGGGACCATGAGCTAAAAAATTCCAGCAGCCCCTAGAAGCCAGAAAAGCAAGAAAATGGAGTCTCCACCCAGAGACCCCAGAAATAAATATAGCCCTGCCTACACCTTGATTATAGCCTAGTCAGTGCCTAGTTCAGACAATCTCTGACCTTCAAAACTGTAGAAATATAAATTTGTTGTTTTAAACCACTAAGATTTTGGAAATTTGTTACAGCAACCATAGTAGAAAACTGCTAAAGCTACCAAATAGGGGTTAAAAATCAACTCACTCAAAGATGGACAGCTGGCTTTTTGCAGAGTACATTCAATTCATTAGTCAGAATCAACAACTCCATACTATAATTTTAAGGCAGTAGTCAATACATCACGGCTAATGATATTTGCAATTCCACATCACCAATGATAGCAGTGATAGAAATGTTGCCTCAGAATCACAGGGAAACAATCACATTATTCCCTATTAAATGGGGCCTGCTAAACTAATGCAAGGATAAGAAAAGAAGCATTTTTGCCATAGGGGCTGGAAATCTTGTCTCAACCCAGCTAGAGATACCTATTTGCCAAGAAACTCCCTGAGGTTTGATTTGTCTCCTCCAAAACTCATTTTGAAATTTAATCCCTGATGTGGCAGTATTGAGAGGTGGAGCCTTTAAAAGGTGAATGGATTGATCCATTCATGGATTAATGGATTAATAGGTTAATGGATAAATGGGTTATCACGGGAGTGGGACTGGTAGCTTTATAAGAAGAGGAAGAGAGAGACCTGAGCTAGCACATTCAGCCCCCTTGCCATGTGATGCCATGGTACTGCTTCAGGACCCTACAGAGAATTCACCAGCAAGAAGGCCCTCACCAGATGCAGCCCCTCTACCTTGAACTTTTCAGCCTCCATAACTTTAAGAAATAAATTCCTTTTCTTTATAAATTACTCAGTTTCAGGCATTCCATTAAAAGCAACAGGAAACAGACTAAGACATTTACCAAGGGGTAGAACATAGAAACAATAGAAGAATGCATTGAATTAGGAAAATAGGGGGGTAAATTCATGCAGATGGTAAAAAGACCCAGCCAGGAGCAAAGCTAATTCCCTATGAGACAGAAAAATTCATTTTATTCTTTTATCTGTCCCCAATATCTCAGGGCTTAGCACAGAGTAGATGTTCAATAAGTGTTTGCTGAATTGAATCAGTAATTATCATTAATGGACCCCTCCAGTCTTAGGGTTCTATTAACCCACATGCTCTACAGTATTCTAAACTACCAAGACAACAAGCAATAAACATTTATTCATGAATCTGAATACCACTTGATATGGTTTGGATTTGTGTCCCTGCCCAAATCCCATGTTGAATTGTAATCCCCAATGTTGGAGGACAGGCCTGGTGGGAGGTAGTTGGGTCATGGGGGGCAGATTTCCCCCTTGCTGTTCTCATGATAGTGAGTGAGTTCTCATGAGCTCTGGTTGTTTAAAAGTGTGTAGCACCACCTCCTTTGGTCTCTTCCTCCTGCTCTGGCCATGTAAGACATGCCTGCTTCCACTTCTGCCATAATTGAAAGTTTCCTGAAGCCTACCCAGCCATGCTTCTTGTACAGCCTGTGGGACCATGAGCCAATTAAACCTCTTTTCTTTGTAAATTACCTAGTTTCAGTTATTTCTTTATAGCAGTATGAGAACAGACTAATATACCACCTATTACTACCATCCCAACTGCAAGGCGCAGATGTGGCATATATTTGTGTTTGCAGAGCTTAAGGAACTTTGCCTTTAATATATGATGTTAGATATCCAGGATGAAATACATTAACTCTCTCCAAGATGTCTAATACTCCAAAAAGCTCATGTGTCTCAAGGTCCCCATGAAGGTGTCTAGACACCATCTCCCTCTCTGACTCCATCACCATACCTAATGATTGGTGCTAGAAAGAGTTCCCCACATTTGTCAGAACCTTGGCTAAGAGAAATATATAGAGTGAGAGAAACAGATGAAACAGAGAGAGGTAGAGGCAGATGAAATGTGAGTGAGCTTTTATGGAATATATTTTATATATTAATGATGAACTTGTGTGTGGGGTGTGTGAAAGCTGAACAGGCATTTTGAAGAATCAGAGAGTTGACAAGTCAATAATTTGGGGAAACTAGTCTTGACGTTTTTGGTGAGAATGGTAATGTAAAAGTGAGTGCTAAGTGGCTCTTCTTCATAATAAAAAAATGTCTGTGAAGGCTAATCAGAAAAATGCTTGTACGGTAGCTGAGGGATGTGGCCCATAAATATACTAATAACATGTTTTTTGAGAGAGACATTTAATGGCTTCCATTTCAAGCTACCATGACCATGACAGCCATACAACAAGAATTCTGTAACAGCTAGGGAAAGGCCAGCACGGAGGTTTAAACTCACAATATATGGCTGGACTTCCTGAAAATGTATGCAAGTGTTACATGTGTAAATATGCACTTTTCTGAAGAGAGTATCCTTGGCATTCACTGAATTTTCACAGGGGTTCATGCCAAGGTTAGGGACTATTGGCTAGATGGTGATGACCCACTTTTTCTACTTCCCTACTTAGTAAAACAGCACATCTTCAGGATGTGTTCCAGTTATTTAGTAACTAAAGACAAAGCATGTTCCTATTCAAGCAATTTGCTGAGATCTAGTCTCTGGGTTAATAAATCATATGCATGTCTGGAATAACATGACAAATATTGGGGAGGAAGGCATAAAGAATTTAGTGGCACAACAAAATTTGGATTACTCACCTAGGCAGGAAAGAAAAAATAGCTATTGACATTTTGACTCAAACAAAAAAATCCATTTGTGGATTTCACTTTTCGGGTCACCCCCTGCCACTCTACCAGGCTCTGGACAATCTCCAAACACTAGATATGAGCTGAAATATAATCATGAAATGTGGACTCATCCTAACATTGAACTAAATGAAGCTCAATTAAGAAGAGGAAGCCTGAAAATGTTTGCAGAAGCAACTCTAAATGGCTCCATTTTTTTTCTTGTCTGCATTATTTCTTTTTCCATGGCAGGCCAGATTTGGCCTGTGGGCCATAGTTTCTTTTAACTCCTGCCCTAGATCGATGAAAGCCAATCATGGATACTGGGAGGAATGAGAGGTAGTTGAAAAGATCATCGTGTCCATTATGGAAAAGGCAAATTGAAAAACTATATACATAAGAGTAATGACCACATACAAACTATTTGAAATAGAAAGTTGCCTGTGCACTTCTCAAACCTATTCTGAAAAGAATTAACACTTCTCTTGGTGCTATGCCCTTGTATCTCACAAATACCATGGTCAGGATGTTGCTTCTAAACCTAAGTTTCTCCTGATAAACTTTAAACTTATTAATTCTTACCAGTCTTTCATGAAAGTTAGAGCAGCCATTTTCCAGCATGCAGACATCACCTCTTTATGTGCATGTGTATGTGCAAATACAAACAGGCATTTAGGAGAGATGCCTTTGGAGCCAATAATCCAATTCTGTTGAGCCGAAACCCTGAATCATTTCAGGGGTTCTTCTCCAGAAAGATCTCTTAACTAGGAAAAAGATAGGTTGAGCTGGGTTAGGGGACTATAATGTCTCCAAAGCTCATTATACCCTCAAGTTTTGCAAATATAATCACCTCCCCAAATTGAGAATCATGGTTTCTTTCAAAGGTGGCTTATACTAAGGTGATCACAAAATTCTTTTCCAAACTGGGACATTTTTGAGGGTAAAATAAGTATGCTGGAGCAACAGGCATAAACCACAACATATGGTCACTCTACTTATAGTCCTCCATAGAGGAAATGTTTTAACTTCCCCTAAATAAAATGAATTGCTACACCTGTTCTTTTTTTTTATTATTATTATACTTTCAGTTTTAGGGTACATGTGCACAATGTGCAGGTTTGTTACATACGTATACATGTGCCATGCTGGTGTGCTGCACCCATTAACTCATCATTTAGCATTAGGTATATCTCCTAATGCTATCCTTCCTCGCTCCCCCAACCCCACAACAGTCCCCAGAGTGTGATGTTCCCCTTCCTGTGTCCATGTGTTCTCATTGTTCAATTCCCACCTATGAGTGAGAACACGCGGTGTTTGGTTTTTTGTCCTTGTGATAGTTTACTGAGAATGATGATTTCCAATTTCATCCATGTCCCTACAAAGGACATGAACTCATCATTTTTTATAGCTGCATAGTATTCCATGGTGTATATGTGCCACATTTTCTTAATCCAGTCTATCATTGTTGGACGTTTGGGTTGGTTCCAAGTCTTTGCTATTGTGAATAGTGCTGCAATAAACATATGTGTGCATGTGTCTTTATAGCAGCATGATTTATAGTCTTTTGGGTATATACCCAGTAATGGGATGGCTGGGTCAAATGGTATTTCTAGTTCTAGATCCCTGAGGAATCGCCACACTGACTTCCACAAGGGTTGAACTAGTTTACAGTCCCAGCAACAGTGTAAAAGTGTTCCTATTTCTCCACATCCTCTCCAGCACCTGTTGTTTCCTGACTTTTTAATGATTGCCATTCTAACTGGTGTGACATGGTATCTCATTGTGGTTTTCATTTGCATTTCTCTGATGGCCAGTGATGATGAGCAGTTTTTCATGTGTCTTCTGGCTGCATAAATGTCTTCTTTTGAGAAGTGTCTGTTCATATCCTTTGCCCACTTTTTGATGGGGTTGTTTGTTTTTTTCTTGTAAATTTGTTTGAGTTCATTGTAGATTCTGGATATTAGCCCTTTGTCAGATGAGTAGGTTGCAAAAATTTTCTCCCATTTTGTAGGTTGCCTGTTCACTCTGATGGTAGTTTCTTTGGCTGTGCAGAAGCTCTTTAGTTGAATTAGATCCCATTTGTCAATTTTGTTTTTTGTTGCCATTGCTTTTGGTGTTTTAGACATGAAGTCCTTGCCCATGCCTATGTCCTGAATGGTAATGCCTAGGTTTTCTTCTAGGGTTTTTATGGTTTTAGGTCTAACGTTTAAGTCTTTACACCTGTTCTTGACAGAGGATGACTTGGCACTACTTTAGCACTCAGGCCCAAGGTATAATTAATCTTGGTCTCAAACCTCTAAACCCCTTCAGAGTAAACATCAGGAGGAACTTCTTGTTTAAGCTAGTGGTATAACACTTAAAATGGGCTACTGAGGGTGAGAAGCTGAAAATTTTTTTAATGGGGCTTGAGGGTGCTAGAGAAAACAGTAGATAATTGTTTACATCAAAATTATCACACTGGGGATAAATAAGATGACATATTGAAGTGCTCTTTGGAAAAGTAATAATTGTGTACATAGTATTAATAGTTGGTCATGAAGACTTCAGCTTCTTTTCCACCAGAGAAGATGGTAGGGAAAGAAATCAGATCATAGTGCTTACCTGCAGAAAAAGACCAAAATGAGCACGTTCCCTAGCAGAGGCCTGTGAATCACTGTGGGCAATGAGGGACTGAAGGGAACAGAGACAATGAAGGTCCTCACGCCTACCTGTAGCTGGTCCATAAAAGACTCTATCATCACTAAAAGGCAGCTTTCCCCAACCCTCCACTTTCCCAACTGACGACACCCCAGACCAGATTTCCCCAAGGTTGTGATGTACTTACAAACAGAGCCACTTGTTGTTTGAGAAGACACGAATGTTCACCTCTGCCTAAAAAGAAATTTTCTGGGCAAGAGAAAAGGTGTGAACTTAAAGGTAGCTCCAAGTGATGCAAACTTGTCTGGTGCTCTTTGTTTTTGTTTTTGTTTTTCTAATTCTTATGGGTACGTAGTAGGTGTATATATTCTTTGTTTTGTTTTCAAGCAGCCCTGGAGAAGTGCCATAGAGAACGTAACAAGTGCTTTGTGTCTGACCCTATGACCTTGGGTTTGAAAAGGTGCTCTGGTGGAGAAACTGTCCATTAGGGAGCTGGTGGCCAACTTTTCAGAGGAAGTAAAAGAAAAAAAAAATGAATAATGTCCAAACCAAAAATCTCTTAAGATGGGAAAAACAAGGAAGCCAAATGACCTACTCCTTAGTCAATCATTCCCCTTCCCTTTCATCCACTTTGGCCCTTTTCTCCTTTTGCTTACTCCTACCGGGAACACTTATATATGTGCCATCAGATAAAAGATTAAAGATAATGTAACAGTCGAATGCCATTTAGAATCTATTTTTCTCCCCTTACTAAGGGATATACAGAAGAAAAAATATTATTTACTAGAACTGGATTTAGGAACAGAGAAACTGCAACCAATGCTTCTCTGGATAGGCCAGTCCTTCTCCTATGCAAATACACTATGGTGGTCCGTGAGACGAGGACCTCCATAGTGACCGTGTCCAGGATCCATGAACCCATCTTTGTGTGCTCCAACACTTAGCACTTTTCTCATCTTCTCCCACCTCCTAAACACAGGCAACACCACCTCACCTTTAGTTCTCTCTGCTCACCAGGTAGCTTACAGGTAACCAGAAGATTGTGGAAAAAAGAAAAAGAGGGAAAAGGGACAGACTTGAAGTAAAACAGAAAGTGGCAGTACTGCAGTTGTTTGACTTTGGCAACAGGGTGTTATGGGTGTGTGTGTGTGTGTGTGTGTGTGTGTGTGTGAAAAAGCACTGATGCATCAAAGATTTATTCACTGAACAGGTTGATTTATTTAACAGACTTGACATATGTCAAATTCTGCCATGTACTTACATAATTGTTACCAATTTATCAGAGCTGTTATTTAGGCAAATATTTGCTTTAAAAATATTTTCCTTTAAATGACTTTCTCTAGCTTACTGCACAATCAATCCGTGGTTCATTTAAATTATGTTATGTTAACAATAGCTATTTGGTGAAGGTCTCTCAAATCTAATCTTCCCGGAGCCATTTCATCTCTACTCAAACTCTATCCCTCTTTTTTCCTAGTAATAAATTTCTGGCTAAAATCACACCATAGGGAAAACTTTAAATATATGTACAATGTATTTTTATGTCATGGTATTTTACACTTACGATTTACAAAAAAAAGCAGTTTATCAGTATATTGTTAAAATCACAGATCTGAATGCTGTTAACCTTAAAAACTGTCTAAAAGGAAAAAAGCATGTGTTTTTGTATGAGTTTATGTCTGGGGGGGCCAGTTGGGACAGCCAGGTAGAGAATTCATCAGAATAAGAGAAAGTAAATAGAGAAATTTCAAGTCTTACAAATTTTGTTCAATCACCCTACCCCATGTGCACCAAAAAATTATATTTTTTTAACTAGCATGCATGCAATCTATCTAGATTTTCGGGGAGGTGAAATATTGGAAAGTATTTCTAAGAGACAAAAATGTCTAATCACTAGCCACCAGGGCTAGTTTCAGTTCCTCTATTGTAAATACGCTATTTGCAAAAACAAGAAGCTCATTTTTGACCTCCCAGGTTACGCAGTGTGGGGACTATGAAAGACATGGAGGAAGAAAGGGAAATACCACCACCACACAGTAAATTTTTGACCTAGTAAGCAAATACGTTTTTGTTGTTACTGCTGGGTAAAATGTATGTCTTCCAGAAATTAGACACTGTAATAAAAATGTACCAGCCCAAATTTAAATTGCTCACTAGACAGATGGTTAATTATATTCACAGCCACATATTTCACTGGGATAGAGTTTCAGACACTCAGCCAGTTTTATTTGATTAGCCGGTTTCCCAGTTAATATGTAAAATGACAGTTACTTAGGACTTTTTTGTTCCCTTCTAAAAATATTTTTTCAATAAGTGTAAATTCTCCTCAGCCATAAGAACGTCACTGCTGTAAATAAAACGTTTGGTCATATGTTACCTCATGTGTAAAAGATGTAAGGGAGATTCACCCCTCCAAAACACAAATGGTCGTAAGGAGTTCAGAGAAGACCATTACAGCACCTTTTCTCACCAAGCAAAATATTCCAGGAACTCCTCCACCAAAAACAACCAAGGATATATTCAAATCCCGGGATTAAAGTGCTTTAGACATTTTTAAAAACAGCCCTGCCAGCCCTACAACACAAATCATGTCTTTTCAGATAACAGTCTAGAAAATGCAACATTAGAAAAAGGCCACATATCTAAATGTAGTGCTGTGCACAGCATTCAACAATATGCTGGGAGCCAAGATCCAGAAGCAAAATATGAGACCCACTTATTCCAAAATGCAACCAGAAGCTTGATAAAAATCAAGAGTGCTGTTGTCGAAATGGGGATGCCAATTTTTTTTTAACTTCGAAAAAGACAGAAAACCTTGCGCGGGTGATTCGGTCCCTCACGAATCAGACAGACAGAAGCAGTCATGCTGAAATCGCTGAATTCCTCAGCGGAACGGCGCCAACTCAGCAGCGCGGTTTCCACACTTTCCCGGAGCGGGACTCCGCTCCCCGCGCCGGCTCACGGCCTTCCCGCCCTACAGGGTGTACAAGACGCGAGCCGACGTGTGCTGCGGGGCGCGGCAGAGAGAAGCGCCAGAAGCCACACAGAAAAGCGTCAATTCGACCGCCACCGAGAGCGCGAAGGGGCCACAAGCCAATTTCCGCAAAGGAGATGAGCTGGGCGAGGCTCGGTCTGGCCTCCAACTTAAACCTGTCCGCAGCCTCGGCCGAGTGGCGCGTGTCCTGGGGGCGCTCTGTGGTCGCCACGGCCGCCCGGCTTCGCACCTTTGCGGCTTTGGTCCGAGCGCCCGGCCTCGGCCGCCGCGTGGGTTTTCCCGCTCTCGCCGAAGCGTGCCATGCCCATGCCCCATTCCCTGGCCAGGCTCTACCCTGCACCAGTCCGAAAGGAGGCGGCACTCTGCCGAGCTGCGTGCGTGTAAGCGCGGCGGCTCCGGTCCGCTCGCTTCCCCTCCCCCCGCAACCCCCTTCCTACGGCGCAAGCACAGAGGCCTTTCCTAGATTGCAGTGCCTGTCAGGGCGAGCCGGGATCTCTCGCCCTAGCGGCCTCGCTCCCTCATACACAGACACACACATTCGCATACAGACGTCCTCCGTTCCGTTTTCCCTTCCTTCTCGTCTAGCTCGACTTACCCCAGTTCATTCCACCCCCTGCGGCCGCCACCCCGAGCCAGCCGGGGAGCCGGCGAGAAGGCCAGGAAGCTGTATGGCAGCGCTCCTACTCACCTCACAGGCCGACTCCCGAGGCGCACGTCGCTGGCGGGCTCAGGCAGCAGGCGCTGTAGCTAGCGCGGTCGCAGTCAAGGCTGGGCTGTCGCCGTCGCCGCAGCTGTTCGAGCTGCCTTAGCCGCCACCGCCGCTGCTACTGCTGCCGCCGCCGCCGCCGCCTCTGCCTCAGCTCCATACGCTGGGCCCGCCAGGTGGACGCGCCTCTCTCCTCGCTCGCTCCCTCAGGCTCCGCCGCCGCCGCGCTAGATGGAGTCAGAGCTGTCGGGCTCTGGCCCTGAAACTCAGAGCCTCCGCGGCTGCCCGGCTGCTCCAAGGGTCCGTGCTTCGCTTACACTGTCGCTCGCCCCGGCTGGAGCTACCTAGCGAGCGGGCTGCGCGCTCGGCGCCTGGAGCCCGCTCTGTGCGGTGGCTGCGGCCGTCCGCGAGAGGGAGAGAGGAGGGCGGCTGCTACTGTCGCTATAGCTGTTAAAGCTATTGCTAAATGCTGCTACTGCCGCTAATGCTACTGCTGTGGCGGCGGTGGTGGCGGCGGCGGCTGCTGCTGCTGCTGCTGATGCTACTGGTTTTCCTTCCCAGGTTCTTCCCCTGCCTCGTCCCCCCTCCTCCCCCTTCCTCCTCCTCCTCCTACTCCTCCTCCTCCTTCTCTTCCTCCTCCCTCTTCTCCTCCCTCTGCCGCTTTTCTCAGAGCCTCTGCAGGCACTGCCTGGTCCCCTCTTCTCCCGGAGCTGTCTCTGCCCATTCAGAAAGGTGCCCAGAGTGGGGCCGCCTCTGCTGCCACCATCGCTGTTGCCCCTGCCATTGTTTCCTCCAACACGGCTGTTCTTGCTGGACGCCTTCCCCCCTCTACCCTTCTTCCCCACCACAGCTCTCCCTTTCCCTCCCGCTCTCCTTACCCTCTCTATGGTCCCTTCCTTATGTGCCCCCCCAACTCTGTCCGTCTGTCCTTCCCTCCCCTCGGGCGCCCGGGAGCGCGCACTGCGCGGCCACCTGTCATAAAGGGCGCGCACCCCCCTTCCCCATTCCCACCCCGCCCCCCACTCGCGTTCCTGCTGCCCTTCCAGTCCACTACGCCAGTGGTGCGTTCTTCCCCTGGCAGACACGCAACCGGACACCACTCTCCCATGCCTTTTAGGGCAGTTGTGTGTGCGGAGAGGGGCACTCTGAAGTTTGGGGAAGAATATTTGAATGGTTTCATCCACCAAGCATCTAACCATTCAACCTTTACCTACTCTTAACTTAAGGGCCTGGGCCCCCAGGAAGGTGGGTCCTTTTTGAAGGGTTGGATGAAGGCAGACAATTGGGGAGTGACGTTTGGGGAATAAAGGAAAGAAGGGAAGCTGAATATGGCCAGGAAGGAAAACAGATCTGCCTGATGGCTGTCATTGAAAAATCTCTTAGGTGGTCATTTTCCTTCAGACGTCCTGGGAACTCAACAGGAAACAGCAAAACGATTGGAGAGCAACTCAGGAGGGACCATTTAGTACTTCTGGAGTCCTGGGTGCAAGGTTGAGGCCTGAGCCTCGGGAGATTTGTCACCACTAGGAGCCAAGGCAAGAGATGAAAAGGTTGGTACTAGAACAGAAGGGGTAAAAGTAGCTACTTTGTGTGCACTTGCTCCAACATCATTGCCAAAGCACAGCTTCTCCAGTCAGGCAGGGCCTCATTTCAGATTTCTTTGCTGCCACAGCTACAGCGTCATTTTGCTACGAGGGCTCAGGCTTTGAGATCTGATGTGTGCAACTTCTCACCATCACCTGTCACACAATCCCTCCCCAGAAACAGTGCAGAGGCGGGGGTATATTTTCTTTTCCCTGGCAAAGTACAGGAGATAAATGTTCCAGATATCCCATTGACAATAAGGTCTGGGTCACTTTACCAAGTTTGAGGCGCTCTACCATGGGTCTTTCATTCCTGGACAATAAACTGTCTGTATGGCTTTTACAACTCCCCATCTCTGTGCCTTTGTTTCTGTCATCCCACTTGCTTGAAACACTCTTGTTATTTCTCCCTCTCATTTTATATCTATGAAACTCATCCATAAATAATAGCTCATCCTGAAATAATTATACTTATTGGGTCCTTACTATGTGCCAGACACTGTGCTAAGCAATTTACATGAATTATTTAATCTTCACAACAAACACAATTTTACTATCTCCATTTTACAAATGAGAAAATCGAGTCACAAGGAAGTTAGGTATATGTGTCCTGAGGATAGGGATGATATGTTATTTATCTTGCATTTGTGAGACACTGTGCAAATATATTTGCATCTTTCAGGCACTGGAATAAATAAGAAGACAAAATTTGGCCTCTGTTCTCAAAAGCAAAAACAAACAAACAAAAAAGGTTAAACATGTAAAATGCCACCCATCTATTGGCTGGATCTCAATATCCAGAATGAATTGCTCTTTTTCCGTTGTCGGAAAGCACATTGTTTTCACCTGTATTAACTACATATGCTATTCTTCCTTTATAAAGTTAGTTGCTTATTTGTTACCAGTTATAATTTTTGTCAATGCCCTCCAGCCAAAAACTACCAGAAACACAACTGTAGTTGAACAATTTGGGTTTACTACTTGTTAGAGTGAGGGAGAACACACACCATGGGTGTTATGGGCTGATTTGCATTTCCCCAAAAATTCATATGTTGAAGCTCTGACTATTCCCAGTACCCCAGAATGTGACTGCTTGGAGATAGGGCCTTTGCAGAGGATACTAAGTTAAAATAAGGCCTTGAGAATGGGCCCTAATCTAATATGACTGAGGTCCTTATAAGAGGAGAAAATTAGGACACAGACAACACAAAAAGGCCATCTGCAAGCCAAGGAGATGGTGATCTCAGGAGAAACCAGACCTACTGACACCTTCATCTTGGACTTTTAACCTCCAGAACTGTGAGAAAATAAATCTCAGTTGTTTTAATCACTCAGTCTGTAATATTTTGTTATGGCAGCCAGAGCGAACTAATAAAACAGGAAATCATGGGGTGTCTCAGATAAAAGGTGGTAGAAAGGACTTATAGGATTTGGATTTTGGTTGGGTAATTGGGGGAGGGTTTAAGAAAGTGGGAATTAATTCTACATTGAATGCTCTCAGAAAGCAAGGGCAATTCTGTGACTGGGCATCTTAATAAATCTTATCTATTGGGAGGTAGACTAAAGTGGAGATAAGGCTTTTGTGGGTTTTTTGTCTGTGCTTAGACAAAATTATGAAGAGGCCTTGTTTTGTTTCATTTTGTCATGTTCTCAGTGTAACATTGTCTGATGTCAGTATTTTGTGAGAGTGTTTATGTCCATCAGGAGACCAGCCATGGCCTACCTGTGAGTGCCAGGTCATCTTCCAGGTGGCTTTTCTTCTTCTTTAAGACAGGTTTAAGTGTGACTACTTAACAATGTCCATTAGTTGTGTGGCTTTGGGCAAGTTACTTTACTTGTCTGTGCTTCAGTTTCCTCATTTATATTAATAATTGAGAAAAAAAATTGTGTTAACCATGGAGTTGTTATGGGAACTAAATGAAGGAATAAATATAATGTCCTCAGAACACTGCTTGGCACATAGGCAGCCTTCACTGAATGTGAGTTATTATCCATGTCTGTTTTCTCCAACAGACCATATAGCTTAAATTGCATATTATTATAGTTATATATTGGTACTTTCTCCTTTGCTAGGCCATGAGCTCCTTGAGGGCAGGGACAACGTGTACTGGCATGGTGATAATAGCTAACTTTTACTGAATGTTTTCAATGGGCCAGGCACAGATATTAACTGTAGTTACTCCATGAAAACTTTTGAGGGCCCATCCCTACCTTTAGACTAGCCTGGGCATTCTCTCTGTGCTCCCATAGCATTTGGGTTTACTGTAATCATTACACTTAGTATATGATACTGACACTGTCTGCTTATGTGTCTTCTTCCCTTTCTAGACTGTTCATTTATGAAGAGTAGAGCAGATACCTTCAACTTTGATGTCCATGTCTGAGCACAGTGCCCAGAACAACAGAGGCACTCAATATAAAAACACTGATTGGATTTTCAGTACGTTCTTTGCTTCTTCTAGAGCGGAACTCAAATCAGGCCTATCTTAGCCTCCATCATCCCTTTCCCTGGGGTTTTATTGTCTAAAAACATAACAGAGAATCTCAAATAGAGTGGTCCTCCCTGTAAGGCAGATCTAAAGAAGAGAATCACTGTGAGACTTCAATTCAAGAAGGTGCCATTTGGGAATAATTGGTCTCTGCTATTTAACAGTCAATGGTAGCATATCCATTAGACCAAAGGGGGGTAATGAAGTATGAGACCTGAACCTAGAATCTTGGGTGTTAACCTTAATTCAGCCATAAACAAACTGTGTGATGTTTAGAAAATTACCAAACCTCTCTGAACCATAGTTTTTCCATAGGGGGCATGGAGAACATAATCTCTCCACTGGCTAATAGATTAGATAACAAAGATTAAAGAGAGTTTACTGGAGTTTCTCTTTGGGAAAAACATTTCATTCCTCCATTACTTCCATGTTACATGCCTGCAAGATTCTCAGCCTCTGTAACTGGTATCATAAAATGGCTACATTCTTTCAGATGCCAGCCAAAAGCCAAGGGAGTTGTGGTTTTTGGCTTGCCATATCACCTCCCTATCGGCCCCACAACTCAGCCTGCTCCCAAAGAAGGGAGCTACAGTGTCTGTATATTTCTGGGGCATAACAGATGTTGACATTCTGGAGATAGATCCAGAAAGTTTCTTTCTATCATGCTGAGGCCAGACACAGGATGTCTTTCAGCCCAAACGTATGTTTTTAGCCCAGAAGGATAAAAGAAGGTGAATGACAGAAATAACATTATTATGGTATCATATGCATATACAAAAACTAGCATATTACTTATGAAAGAAACTACCATATTACTTTTCATATAATGTACCACTATTGTGCCCAGATACTATATAGTAATTATACTAATGGCCTCTGGCTGGGAGTTTATGGTGGCTTTCCCTGGTGAATTTCAAAGAATGGCCCAAAGGAACTGAAAGGAGGTTACAGAACTGAGAGGTCAACGAATCAAAATCAAAACAAGCATCGGCTGTTCCTCTTGTTTGAGGGGCAGCACCCAGGGCTCCATTTAAATACAGTGGAACTGACAAGCTGGCTCAATAATTCTCTCTTTTGTCCTAAACAGTATTAGAAAACTATAGCTTTCCTGACAATAGACAGATGTCTCATTTTTTCCCCTTACAGCAGCCCTTGGAGGGGTAAGGGGATCCCTATTCTATGAATTATTCGGCTAGTGTTTGATTTAGGCCCTGTATTAGGTCTCAGGAGGAGAAAACAGAGACAATTAAAGACACTTTTTTTTTTTTTTTTTTGCCTCAAAGGACTTTATAGTCTAGAAGGGGAAATGGAAACACAGGAAGGCAACACTCTCAGGCTGTGCAGATTCAGGGCTGAAAGAGAGGTGAGAAAAAGGGCTTCAGGATACCAAAGGAGTTTGGGAGTCCCTGAGCCTGCCCCAGGAGTGGTAGCCCGGGAAGAGAAGTATGACTGTACTAGGCAGTAAGGAGAAGAGCATATCAAGCATGAGGAAGAGCATGAGCTGAGGAAGTGCTGAGGCAGGATGATGAGCAATGTGTTTGGGAGTCGGTTGACATGTACAGCATGTCTGGAGCCAAGGGCTTGTTCAGTGGAGCAAGCAAAATTTGGAGGGGTTGGATGGGGCCACACATGAACGGCTTTGGAACTCTAGGATATATTAACCTTAAATTCTCACTCCGTACTTTATAAATGTGGAAAAGAAAGGTCATGGTCACACGGTAGATAGGTAGATATCTGAGAAAGTTACCCTTGATGTTCAGACGATAGGCAATGAATAACATTTATGATTTCTGATATACTTTCACACACATCATGTCTTCTGTTCATGACAATCTATTGAAACAAAGTGCCCCATAGCAGATATTCCCTTTCCTCCTACTTCCTTGAAGCCTTATAACAAACAAACAAACATAACCTGTTGATTGCACTCATTGTCCTATGGAGGTGGATCTGAGTTGTTGAGAGAGGAGGTAAATAGTAGGGCTCACAAATAGAGCCCAGATGAGCAAAGTGCTGGTTCCCAGAGTGTCTGGGGTGTCCTGCCCCCATTTGTCCAACATGCTCAGGTGCCTTGGCTGCTGTGTTCAAAGCTAGCCTGGACAAGGACAGCTCCTGCACTTGAGTACTTCTCCTCTCGGGGTGAGCCTTTGAAACATGCTGGGACAGGGTTGAGTGACTCAAAGTTTGGGAACTGAGATCTGGAGAAAACCACTTCCATCTTTAATTGCCAACAGCCATTGGAGAAGCCCCAGATGAAGCCAGGCCAAACAGCTCAGCACACAAGGCCCTGTAACACAGTTCTAGCCACAAGCCAAAGATGTTCGTGGCTTTGGCAGCACTGAGCAAGGTGGGAGCTGTGGTGGGTGTAGTGAGGAAATGTGTCCAGCCTTAGGACAGTACCATGGACAGAGATCAGCAGGCATCTTTAACCGGTTCCCACAGTGAAGTGCAGCCCTCCATCATGCAGCTGAATGCCTGGGTGACACTGCAGTTCTGTGGGTAATATATGGAGTGTGTGATGTGGGTTTTGGGCTTCTCAGAGTTGAATACCACCAGAGCACCCTGTACAGTGTGAGCTCTCTCTGTCAAGCACAGACTTACAGGCCTTATTCACTGTGGGAAGTATTAGTAATGGCACTTTCAACAGTGCCACTGTTGAAGATTTCAATGTAGTCTCATGGTTTGAGGAGGAGGCACACACTGAGCTCACCTAGCTCCAGAATCATCTGGTCCAGGATTTCTTGGACATGGTAACCTCTGCTCCCTTAAGTAAATGACCTCAAAAGACTCCTCTTCATGTGAAATCCAGTGTCTCAGAGTGTACCTCACTCCCCCATCCCCATCAAGCCAGGTAAAGGGGAGGAGGATTGAGCTGTATTATAGTAGAAAAATGCTAGAAGTGGAATTAAATAACATGGGGTTCTACCCTTTACTAATGTGATCCTGGGTGCGGTGGCTCATGCCTGAGATCTCAGCACTTTGAGAGGCTGAGGTAGAAGGATCGCTTGAGGCCAGAGGTTTGAGACCAGCCTGGGCGGTGTAGTGAGACCCCATATCATAAAAATAATAAATAAATAAATCCATAGTATTCTAATCTGTAAAAAAGGGGCCAATGATAATAATCCTATCTTACAGAGAACATGTGAGCAGTTCATGAGTTAAGGTGTATGAAAACGCCTGCAAAAGGCTTATATATAGAGGTATATAATAAATGTGTCTATTCATGCATATATTCCAGAAGCTCCTAAGATTTCCCATCCTGCAAGAAGGGTTTCCTAATTCATTGATGGAGGTATGTTTCCTTCTATCTATACTAGCAGTTCCTATGATATTCTCCTTTTACCCTGTTAAATAACTGCTGTTCCTGCTTATGTTGACAATGATGGTGATAGTGATAGTATAATGTGGATAACAATGACTGGCTGAGACCATAGAATACATAGTATGGGTAAAAGATAGTGAGAGAAGAAGAATACTTTAGGAAGGAAACAGAAGCTCTGGCTTGTTTGGAGGTCTGATCTTCCCTAAACTAGCCTCTTTGGGTCCATCTACATAGGCATTCATGCCAAATCCCTAAAAATATTGCACCAAAGATTCTTCAGCAAAAGGCATCCTAAGAAGCTTCTACCCTGAATAGGGGGTGTATTTCAAAAGTGAATGCATAACAAGCCAGGAAAAGAGATGATTCCATTAATCTAAAACAAATGCTTCCTGAGCATCTTTTTTGGCTACATACAAACCAATCCATTGGCATCTAGAAAATGTAGAGACAACATATACCCAGTGTGACTATCTGTTCAGAACAGTCCATGTGTGTCTTCAACTTTGCTAAATAACACATGGACACTCTCTACTTTATATCCCCATGTCTTTTCTCAGGAAATATCCTGCAAAGACCTTTGCACAAGTTCTTTGTTCTGCCTAGAATGTCCTTTCCTCCTCGGGTGATCTGCCCCTCACCTGCCAAAGCTTCGCTTGAATGCCACCTCCTCACTGAAGTGTTCCTTGACTTCCTACCCTTCCAAGAAGAATGAGTGGCTATTTCTTCTGGTCTCTTATGCATCTTGCATAAATCTCTATTAAAGAACTTATCTTTGTGTATTATATGTATTTGGGCATGTGTCTGCTCCCACATTGGACTGAGAATTTCTAGCTCTTGGAGGGTAGGGACCTTGCTGCCTTCTCTTTATCTTTTCATTCTTTAGGTACTGCCAGGCACTTACATTTGAAGAATAAAATGTCTTAATAAGTGAATGAGCTGGAGATTTCGTGCACACTCTTACACCAGCTATGGCCCCAAAGATGCGTGCTCCTAAGACATGTCTTTCAAAGAACAGTGGGGTCTTTCTTAAGACTGGCTTTGTCAACATATTCATCAAAATCTGGATGAGGTTGGGTCAATTGCCAGTCTCCTCATCCATTATGAGATGACCCTGACGAGGACCACTGTCTCTGCAAGAGGTTCATTCAGTTCTAGGATTGGTGTGACCCTGAAGAAACCTGAAGATGCCCTCATGTCCCCCTGACTGAACTCAGATGGTTCTAGAGTGGAGAGACATTTGCAGGATAAACAAGAAGAGAAAAAAAAGAGAGTAGAGAAGAACAGAAAAAGGAAATGAGGGGGAGAGATGGGAAGGAGAGAAAGAGCTAGAAGGGAGGGGACAGCAGAAAGAGGCAGACATGCCACCTTAAATCAGATGGGAGACATTGTAGGAGTTGGAAGATGACAGTTAATTGGTACCATTTTCATGTAAAATCGTATCACTGAGTTTTCACAGGCATATAGCTAATGCTTATGGTCACACACTCTGACCCATACGATACCAACAACAAACACCTGTACCCTTTACATTCCACAAGAATGGAAGCAAGGTGTAGTAGACACAGGGTCTGGTGTGAGGCAGATGTGGATTCAAACCCTGAGTGGTGTGCCTTTGATCAAAGAACAACTCTCTGAGGCTTATTTTCCTTTCCTGTCAAATGAAAATAATATTTGCCTTGTAGAGTTATCTATCTTATGAAGATTAGTGGTACTGTTCATAAAGCGTTTGGTAAATAGGCAGTCAACAAATAATAGCTACTATTATTACTGTGCTATCAGAATACTGCATAGTGAATAAAAGCAGACTTTGGAGTCAGACTTCATTTGAATTCTATTTCTGCTGTTTACTAGTTAGATTTTATACCCAGCTTCTGAGAAATTAGCTCCCCTACCCTTAGAATTGTTACCTAGGCAGTGTAGTGTAAGGGCATGATCTCTAAAGTTTTAATCGTGGCTCTTTCATTTACTGTGTGATGCTGAATAAGTTATCTGACATTTCTGAGCCTGTTTCCCCAACTGTAAAGTGGGAGGATAATAATAGTATCAGTTCCCTAGAGTTGTTGTGAAGATTAAATGAGTTAATTTATACTTAAAACTATAATGCTTAAATGTGTATCTGGAAGATAGTAAGACCTCAATAAAAATCAGCTCTTTCAGTATCCTGAAATACTTTCCAAATTCATTGTTTCATTTATTTCTTACAATACCCTGTAAAATGTATATTCTCATTCTAATTTTATAGATGAGGAAACTGAGGCTTAGACTGGTTCAAGTTCACATAGGTAGCAATTGACAGGGCCAGAACAAAAGGTGTTTGCTGAGTAACTATATGCAATGTCTCTCTCTTCTCCACTTTAAAACAGATATCTAGACTATTTCTCAGTGCTTTTCCTTGAATGTCATGCAATGTGTCAGGTGTGTCAGGAACGCTTTCTAAAAATGCAGTATAGCCTCATTATCAGCAAACATGCTGGATGGGCTTTGAATTGCGTACTTGTTCTTCTGAACACTTGCTTCTGAACACTCAGCTACATATCACCTCCTATGAAAGGCAGATCCATCGTTCTCTGCTTTGCAGATCACTTAACATTGCCTTTTCTTGGAATCAGAGTTCTTCCTTTGCACATTTGGTCATTCTGGCAAAATGCTTCTCCCCTTTGTCTGACCTAATTAGCTAGAATTTACAGCTCTAAGGTATTAATTTCCACAAACACATTTTTGACCCAGCAAAGTTGGCTAAAAACACATTTCTGTAAAGAGAATCCTAATTCTCTAATTCTCTATTGACTTTCGTTGTAAAGTTGCAGGCGTGTTCCCATGGAAACTGTCCCCACAACACGCTGAATCAAAAGCTTTTGGTGAAGAAGGGTCGTCTATGCTGTTCTGGAAAGGACTGGGCAAGACTGGGCCGTGTATGAAATAATGTATATGAAAACAAAGTGCTATATAAATTGAAGATAGTACTAATAGAAGCAGCAGGACAAGAATCCACTCTCAGTCCCACAGCCATGCTTGCCTACTTTCATCATCTGGAAGGTATTAGAAGTCACCCTACCTTAGATCTTTGCAAACTGCACTCCACACCCCCTCCCCACACCTATCATCAGCCCTCCCTATCACCCTTTGTTGCTTTAAAAAAAAACCTCCATAGCACTAAACACCTACTAGCATACCAATTATTTTACATAGTTATTGTTTATTTTTGGCACCTTCCCCCATTAAAATGTAAGCAACATGAGAATATGAATTTTGTTTGTTTTTCACTACTGTATCCTCATCACTTGGAACAATACCTAATATATCATAGATGCTCAATAAATACTTGTTGAATGAATGCATGAATGGAGGTTGTTTGCTCTGCCTGTAAAGCTCATTTCTCTGCTCAACCTCCTCCACCTGGTTAACCTCTTCACAGCCTTCGGAATACAGCTGAAATATCACTTCCTCAAGGACACTTTCCTGTTGCCTTAGCCTTGGTTGGATCCTCCTATCATATCTTGTAACAGCAGCCTATGCGTTTTTCCTATAGAGCACAATTAAATAATAAGTCATGTAATTTCTTGTTGTCTATCCCCTTCAGGACAGAAGCTCCATGAGGGCAGGGATTGCATTGGGTTCACTTCTGAGTGCCTAGAATAGGGCCTGGCACATGACAGGTGCTTAGTAAATAAGGTATGAATTGCTAAATAAAGATTGTGTCAGTTATGGGATGGAGCTCAGGTGGGAGGGTGGTCTCAGCTTGAGCACATACTGGTTAGCATAAGATTCAGACATGTTTAGAGGACTGACAGGATGGTCTTTCAAGGGATCTATTTAGATGAAGGATTGAGAAGCCTTCTGGGAAAGAATCCAGTTAGAAAAAAAAAAAAGAGTGGAGGCTCACAAGGTTGGATCAACAGCAGTACAGCAGTGAACAGCTTGAGAGAGAAAGGTAAAACTCAACAGGGCACTGATTGCAGTGTCTGTCACTCAGCTTTTTCTTTGGCCCTGATCTTGGGGCACTCAAGCCTGAGTTTTAAAGACAGTGTGACAGGAGGAAAAACAAGTAAATCTCTTCTACCAAAAAGAGCAGATATAAGAAATATGAGACAGACCTGCTTTGGGAGCTTTCTTGTTAAATATAGCTTAAAAATGAAGGCATAACCTGGCTCAAAGAAGATCCACAATGCAGACAATAAAGCCCTCAACATTAGTTCCCGGTGGCAGCACCATCTTTGGTGGTGGTGACAGTGGCTAGGGCAGTGGCAGCAGCATCTCTGGAAAACCAGAGGCTGGCACCTAAGCACTACAGGGAAGAAGAAAATGGTGGAAGACAAACTTCAGCTGAGAGAGCTGTGCTTGTGAAAATGTTTCCTAGCAAATGCTTGGAAAGAATTAGGTTATGGTATTCTCATCTTTGTCCAGTAATTTACTTTGTAGAATAGAAGTTTGCCAACTCTGATATATTCTCTCTCCTTCTGTAATCAAAAGGATCACCTAGCCTCAGTGCCATGGTCACTCCAGCAATTTTCAGCAACATGCACATCTCTCTTTCTCTCCATACTTCCAATTGGTTATGTTACTTTTAGTTAAATATAACAGATTTATTGAGATGTAATTTGCCTACCAAACAAGACACCATTTTAAAGTATATAATTCAATTGTTTTTGGTACATGCACAGTTTCACAACCATTACTACAATCAATTTTAGAACACTGTCATCACCCCCAAAAGAAACAAAAAACCCAGTACCCACTAGCGGTAACTTTCCATCTATTCCCAACATTCCCTCTCCAAGCCTAGGCAACTAATAATCTACTTTCTGAATCTATAGATTTGTCTATTCTGGATATGTCATACAAATGGATTATACAATATTGTGACTGTCTTCTTTTATTACTTGCCATAATGTTTTCAAGGTTCATCCATGTTGTACCATGTATCATCAGATCTTCATTCCTTTTTACTAATGAATAATATTCCATTGTACAGATATACTGCATTTTATTCATCATTTGGTGGACATTTGGGCTGTGTACACTTTTTGGCTGCTATAAATAATGCTGCTATAAACATTAGCATACAAGTTTTTGTTTTCAGTTCTCTTGTGTATATACCTGGGAGTGGAATTTCTGGGTCATATGGAAACTCTATTTTACACATTTGGAGTAACTGTCAGACTGTTTTCCATAGAAGCTGCACCATTTTACATTCTTAACAGTAATGTATTAGGGTTCTAGTTTCTCCACATACTCATCAACACTTGTTATTATCTGTTTTCTTTTCTTTTTTTTTTTACTTTTATTTTAGGTTGAGGGGTACATGTGCAGGCTTGTTCTATAGATAAATTGCATGTCATGGGGATTGGTGTACAGATATTTCATCATCCAGGTAATAATCATAATACCAAATAGGTAGTTTTTTGATCCTCTCCCTCCTCTCACCCTCCACCCTTAAGTAGACCCTGGTGTCCATTGTTTCCTTCTTTGTGTCCATGTGTACTCAATGTTTAGCTCACAGTTATAAGTGAGATCATGTGGTATTTGCTTTCCTATTCCTGTGTTAATTCACTTGGGATAATGGCCTCCAGCTCCATCTATGTTGCTGCAAACGATATAATATCATGGTGTATAGGTACCACATTTTCTTTATTAAGTCTGCCGGAACTAATGTTGAGGGCTTTTAGGTTTATGGGCATTTAGGTTGATTTCATGAATTTGCTATTGTGAATAGTGCTGCAATGAACATATGCATGTGTGTGTTTTTATGGAGAACCATTTGTATTCCTTTGGGTATATACCCAAAAACGGGATTGCTGAGTTGAATGGTATTTCTGTTTTAAGTTCTTTGAGAAATTGCCAAGCTGCTTTCCACAATGGCTGAACTAATTTACATTCCCATCAGCATTGCATAAGCAACCTAGCCAGCATCTGTTATCTTTCAACTTTTTAATAATAGCCATTGTGGCTGGTGTGAGATGGTATCTCATTGTGGTTTTGACCTGCAGTTCTTTAATAATTAGTGATGTTGAGCATTATTTCATATGCTTGTTAGCTGTGTGTATGTCTTCTTTTGAAAAGTGTTTTTTCATGTCCTTTGCCTATCTTTTAATGGGGTTGTTTGGTCTTTGCCTGCAAATTTGTTTAAATTCCTTACAGATTCTGGATATTAGACCTTTGTCACATGCATAGTTTGCTAATATTTTCTCCCATTCTGTAGGCTGTCCGTTTAATCTGTTGATAGTTTCTTTTGCTATGCAGAAACTCTTTAGTTTAATTAGATCCTATTTGTCAAATTTTGTTTTTGTTGCAATTGCTTTTGGCATCTTCCACATGAAATCTTTGCCAGATCCTATGTCAAGAATGGTATTTCCTAGGTCATATTCCAGGATTTTTATACTTGTAGGTTTTACATTTAAGTCTTTAATCCATCTTTAGTTTATTTCATTGTATGGTGTAAGAAAGAGGTCCAGCTTCAATCCTTTGCATATGGCTAGCCAGTTATCTCACCACCATTTATTGAATAGAGCATTCTTTCCCTATTGTCTGGTTTTGCCTGCTGTGTCAAAGATCATATGGTTGTAGGTGTGTGGCCTTATTTCTGGGTTCTCTGTTCTGTTTCATTGGTCTATGTGTCTGTTTTTGTACCAGTATCATTCTGTTTTGGTAACTACAGCCTTTTAGTACAGTTTGAAGTTAGATAATGTGATACCTCCAGCTTCGTTCTTTTTACTTAGGATTGCCTGGGCTATTCTGGCTCTTTTTTGGTTCCATATCAATTTTAAAATAGATTTTTCTAATTCTTTGAAGAATGTCATTGATAGTTTGATAGAATAGCATTTAATCTGTAAATTTCTTTGGGCAGCATGGCAATTTTTAATATATTGCTTCTTCCTATCCATAGGCATGGAATGTTTTTCCATTTGTTTGTGTCATCACTGATTTATTTGAGCAGTGTTTTGTAATTCTTGTTGTAGTGATCTTGCACCTCCCTGGTTAGCAGTATTCTTTTTATGGCTATTGTGAATAGGATTGCATTCTTGATTTGGTACTCAGGTTGCATGTTGTTGATGTATAGGAATGCTACTGATTTTTGTACATTCATTTTTGTATTCAGAATCTTGCTGAAGTTGTTTTTCAGATCTCAGAACTCTTGGGAAGAAACTTTGGGGTTTTCTAGTTATAGAATTATATCATCTGCAAACAGGGATAATTTTAATTCCTTTCTTTCTATTTGGATGCCATTATTTCTTTCTTTTGCCTGGTTGCTTTGTCTAGAACTTCCATTACTATGTGGAATAGGGGTAGTGAAAGTGGGCATCCTTGTCTTGTTCCCATTCTCAAGGGCAATGCTTCCAGCTTTTTCCCATTTGGTATGAAGTTGGCTATGGGTTTGTCATAAATGGCTCTTATTATTTTGAGGTGTGTTCCTTCAATGTATAGTTTGTTGAGGGTTTTAACAAGAAAAGCTGTTGTAATTTATCAGAAGCCTTTTCTGCATCTATAGAGATGATCATGTGTTTTTTGTTTTTAGTTCTGTTTATGTGGTGAATCCTATATATTGATTTCCATATGTTGAACCAACCTTGCATCCCAGGGATAAAGCCTACTTAATCCTGGTGGATTATCTTTTTGATGTGCTACTGGATTTGGTTTGCTAGTATTTCATTGAGGATTTTTTCATCTATGTTCATCAAGGATATCTGCCTGAAGTGTTTTTTTTTTTTCATCTCTGCCAGACGTTGGTATCAAGATGATGCTGGCCTCATAAAATGAGTAGGGAAGAGTCCCTCCTACTCAATTTTTGGGAATAGTTTCAGCAGGAATGGTTCCAATTCTTCTTTATATATCTGGTAGAATTTGGCTATGAATCTATCTGGTCCAGGGCTTTTTTTCTGGTTGGTAGGCTTTTTATTACTGATTCAATTTTGGAACTTGTTACTGGTCCATTCAGGACTTCAATATCTACCTCGTTCAATCTTGTGATGTTGTATGTTTCCAGGAATTTAACCATTTCTTCTAGATGTTTTAGTTTGTGTGCATAGAGATGTTCATAATAGTCTCTGAGAGTTTGTTGTATTTCTGTAGGGTCAGTGGTAATGTCCCCTTTGTCATTTCTGATTGTGTTTATTTGGAGCTTCTCTCTTTTGTGTTTTTAGTCTAGCTATCCATCTCTCAATCTTATTTATTCTTTCAAAAAACAAACTACTGGATTCGTTGATCTCTTGTATGATTTTTTGCATCTCAATTTCCTTCAGTTAAGCTCTGATTCTGGTTATTTCCTGTCTTCTGCTAGCTTTGTGGTTGATTTGCTGGTATTTCTCTAGTTCCTCTAGGTATGATGTTAGGTTGCCAATTTGAAATCTTTCTAACTTTTTGATGTGGGCATTTAGCACTGTAAACTTCCCTCTTAACAGTGCCTTAGCTGTGTCCTAGAGATTCTGGTATGAAGCCTCTTTGTTCTCATTAGTTTCAAAGAATTTCTTGATTTTTGCCTTAATTTGCTTGTTTACCCAAAAGTCATTTGTTAGTAGGTTGTTTAATTTCGATGTAATTGTATGGTGTTGTGTGATTTTCTTAGTATTGATTTTTTTTTGAAATACACTGAGTAATTTTTATTTATTTATTTATTTTTTATTATTATACTTTAAGTTCTAGGGTACATGTGCACAACGTGCAGGTTTGTTACATATGTATAGATGTGCCATGTTGGTTTCTATTTTTATTGCATTGTGGTTGGAGAGTATGCTTGGTATGATTTTGATTTTTTTTGAAATTTTCTGAGGATTTTTTTAAAAGGCTGGTTGTGTAGTTGATTTTAGAGTATGTGGCATGTGCAGATAAGAAGGATGTATATTCTGTTGTTTTGTGTGGAGAGATCTATAGATGTCTGTTGGGCCCATTTGGTCAAATGTTGAGTTCAGGTCCCAAATAGCTTTGTTAGTTTTTCTGCCATGATGATCTAGTACTGTCAATGGAGCATTGAAGCCCCCTAATATTATTGTGTGGTTATCTAAGTCTCTTTGTATTTGCCTAAGAACTTGTTTTATGAATCTGGGTGCTCCTGTGTTGGTTGCATATATATTTAGGTTATTTAGGTCTTCTTGTTGAATTGAGCCCTTAACCATTATGTAATGCCCTTGTCTTTTTTGATGGTTGTTGGTTTTAAATCTGCTTTTTTTCTGAAATTAGAATAATGAATCCTGCTTTTTTCTGTTTTCCATTTGCTTGGTAGATTTTTCTCCATCCCTTTACTTTGAGGCTATGGGTTTCACTGTGTGTGAGATGGGCCTCTTGAAGACAGCATATCAGTGGGTTTTGTTTCTTTATCCAACTTGCCACTTTGTGACTTGGGCATTTAGTCAATTTACATTCAAGGTTAGTATTAATATTGATAAATATGAATTTAATCCTGTCATCATATTGTTAGCTGGTTATTATGCAGACTTGTTTGTGTGGTTGCTTTATATTTTTCTCATCTGTGTGGGCTGATGTTCCTTCAATCTTTGAAGTTGTCCTTTGGATGGGTTTTTTTTTCTTTTAATTTCTTTGATGCCCTTAAGTGTTTGATTGCCATATAAACTGGGTTCAGTCTACTGGCTTTGATTTTAGTGTGCTCCTGGATCTTGGAGGAGCCCCCTTCAATTACTGTCTGCATGCCCATGTTTCTTTTGTTGGGTGTTCTGGTCCACAGCGCTCCTTTTGGTAGGATCTGCTGTTAGCAGACATACTATATCCTTGCCAAGGTGGTGCTGATTTGCTGCCTGAGTGCTTCCTGCAGGGGGACATGGGGTTGTGCCTGCTTGCAGAGTTCAGACAGAAGGGGAAACCTTGGACTGGAAGCTCTTATAGGTGTGGTCTATCTGGTTACAAGGGGCAGGAATAGGTTGAGTTGCCTGAGATGTCATCTGAGTGTTTCCAGGAAAACACGAGGTGGTGCCCCTCAGCAAATTCAGGCAGAGGTAGGACCTGTAGGCTGGAATCTCCAGCAGGCATGCCTCACCTGGCTATGAGAGGCAAGGGTGGGTGGAGTCACCAACCCTGCTGTCCAGGTGTTTCCCAGGACAACAGGAGGCTGTGCCCACCAGCTAAATTCAGATAGAATTGAGACTGCTGGGCTGGAAGCTCTAGCCAGCATTGCCTTCCTGTCTACCAGCAGTGGGGATGGATGGGGTCATCTGTCCTGCCGTCTGGGTGTTTACCAGGATAACAGGAGTCTGAGCATACTAGCTGGGTTTAGGCAGAAGACAGATCACTGGGCTAAAAGGTCTAGCAGGCATTACCTGTCTGGCTACCAGTGGTGGGGGTGAGTGAGGTCACATGCCCTGCTGTCCATGTGCTTCCTGTGACAGCAGGAGGCTGCATCCACCAGGTGAGTTCACAGACAAGTGGGACTGCTGGGACAGAAGCTTTAGCAGGCATTGTATGCCTGGCTACCAGTGGTGGGGTTGGGTGGGGTCACCAACTCTGACATTTGGATGCATCCCAAGACAACAAAAATTGCTAGATGAGTTCAGGCAGAAGTGGAACCACTGGGCCAGAAGCTGGTGCCAAGCCCCATCTGGTGAGGGGGGATGGAACAATCTTTCTGTTCCCAGCACTGCAAGTGCAGCCTCTACTGGGGCTATGGCACTAGTGCTGGTCTGCTCCAGGGTCCAAGGATTGTAGAGCCCCCACCCCAGGACTCAGGAGTTGCCCCTGCAAAATGTCTAGGTGGCTCTCTGGCTGAGTCTAGAAGTGCAGTGGGGAGAAGTGCAGGGGGTGAGGGGAATTTTCCCATTCCCAGTCTTGCACAGGTCCCTGTGGAGAGCATGAATCCCCCAGGGGTATCTCACTCACTCACCCTTTCACATGCTGGAGAGGTTCTCCTGGCCCCCTGCTTAGCCCAGAAAGGCTGGTGCCAAGCTTCACTCCTCTCTGCTCTCTGTGGCCCCCTACTGCCTTGATGGATCCCAACGTGGTGTCTGAGATGATTGTCCTGCAGTGTCAGTGTTCACTAGCCCTATTGTTTCCTCTCCATGAGAGCAGTGAACAGGAACTGCTTCTAGTCTGCCATCTTGACCCCTCCCCCCTGCCTTTTTTTATTATAGCCATCCTAGTGGGTGTGAAATGGTAGATCACTGTGGTTCTAATTTTCATTTCCCTAGTGGATAATGATGTTGAGCATCTTTTTATGTATTTATTGGCCATTTGTATATATTCTTTGGAAAAATGTTTATTCAGATTCTTTTTGCATTTTAATTGACTTATGTCTTCTTATTATTGAGCTGAAAGTGTTCTTATATATTCTACATTAAATTCTTTTGGCAAAAATGTAATTTGCCAATATTTTCTCCCATTCTTTAGGTTCTCATTTTACTTTCTTGACAACACACAAAAGACCTTAATTTTTATGAAGTCCAATTTATCTATTTCTGCTTTCTCCCCTTGTGCTATTGATGTCATATCTCAGAAACTATTGTCTAATCCACAAAGATTTATGTATATGTTTTCTTCTAAGAGTTTTATAGCTTTAGCACTTACATGTAAGTCTATGATCGATTCGACTTAATGTTTTTACAAGGGGTGAGGTAGGCATCCAGCCACATTATTTTGCAGATGAATATCCAGTTGTCCCAGTACCATGTGTTGAGAAAAAGACTTGTTTCTCCATCAGATTGTCCTGGTACTCTTATTGAAAAGCAAATGACTCTCAATTGCATTCCACTGATTTATATTTCTATTTTTAAACCAGTACCACACTGTCTTGATTACTGTATCTTTGTAGTAAATTTTGAAATCAGGAAGTGTGCATCCTCTAGCTTTTTTCTTTTTCAAGAATGTTTTGGATTCTTGAATTTTCTTATAAATTTTATGATCAGCTTGTCAATTCATGTAATGAATCCAGCTGGAATTTTGATGGGGTCTATAGATCAATTTGAGGAGTATTGCCACCTTAACAATACTAAAATTCTTGATCCATGAACATGGGATGTCTTTTCATTTATTTAAGTCTTCTTTCATATTTTATAGCAATTTTAGAATATAAGTTTCACACTTCTTTTGTTAAATTTCTTCCTAAATATTTTACTATTTTTGGTGCTATTATAAATGGAGTTGTTTAATTTCATGTTTGGACTTCTCATTGCCAGCATGTAAAAATACCAGTGATTTTTTTCTTTTTGATATTGTAGCCTATGATGTTGTTGAATTTGTTTATTAGCTCTAATAGCGGTTTTTATTGGGGTGGGTATTCTTTTTTTCCTTAGATACAGGGTCTCATTCTGTCGCCCAGGCTGGAGTGCAGTGGCACAATCATAGCTCACTTCAGCCTTGAACTCCTGGGCTGAAGTGATCCTCCCACCTTGGCCTCCCAAAGTGTTAGGATTACAGGCGTGGGTTAGCACACCTTGGCCTTAGGTGTGGATTCTTTAGGGTTTCTGGAATTTAAGATCATGTCATCTGTGAATAGAGATAGTGTTACTTCTTGCTTTCCAATTTGGATGCTTTTATTTATTTTTCTTGCCTAATTGCTATGGCTAGAACTTCCATTACAATGTTGAATAGAAGTGATGAAAGTAAACATCTTTGTTTTGTTCCTGATCTTATGGGAAAAACTTTCACAGTTGCACAACTGAGTATGATGTTAGCTGTGGGTTTTCATATGTGGCCTTTATTAATGTTGAAGAGGTTCCCTTCTATTCCTAGTTTACTGAGTATTTTTATCAAGAGACAGTGTTGGATTTTTGTCAAATGCCTTCTTTTTATCAACTGAGATGAAATAAAAACTCCAGAAATAGAAGAAAATGTTTTTTTAAAGAAAAGAAAAAGAGACACTACTTGCTCTAAGAGCAAGCACAACAGCCTAGGTCACTCTTTCAGCAGACACATTCTTGCTTTGAGACCTTCCATCACTTACAGAAAAAAGAAAAATAAGAAAAGTTTTTTAAAAAGCAGAAAAAGGTATAATCAGTGTGGTGGATATTAAGCACACTAATGACCCTGGTACTTTAGCTACTATAAGTAGAATTCCATTCTCCCAAAATGAAGGCAAAGTCTATATGACACAAGCATTTCTAAATTAATACCAATAGTCCATTTCTTACAATGAAATTGTAAAACAATAGCTTATAAAGCTGAAGTCTGTGTGTGAGAATTTCATCTTGGCATAACCTTAAGTTAGAAAGACAGTGAACTCTGCTTTTCAAAACTTACTCAGTCTCCTCCTAAATCTGAGTTAAACTCTGGGAGAATAGGGAGATGATTTCAATATTTGAGAGATCTTAGAAAGGTCTCTGTATACTTCTCACTAGGCCCTGACCATTTTAGGGGAATGAGACTAAATCTTACTGACCTTGATACCTCAACATCTAATACAGTTCCTAGCCTAGAAAGAAGGCACTTATCTGATAAGCACCTAGGAATCAATGTATGTGCATTGAATGCTTTCTGAGACTCATGTGGTATATAAATGATAGTTCCTAATTACCTAGAGTAAAACACCTTGGAAAAGTGTTCTCAGCAGATCAGATCAACAGGTCTCAAAGGTTTACAAAGTACCTTCACACTGGAGCATGTAGCTCTGTCTTTCTCTGAGAGATTTTTCAACAGTTGGTTCTAGTCAAAGCTGAAAGACAGAATCTGACATAAATGTCCGCAAGCATCTTGGCATAACACTACCTGGAATATATTTCCAAATCAAATAAATACGCCAATATGTTCTCTCTACCCAGCTATTCTATAGGCACTTCAAACTGAACTTTTTACCTTCCATGCAATTCCATTCTGTTCCCTGGAAATCTGAGTCACCCTTGCATCTCTCATCTCCCTCGTCCAAGTCTACTTTATGTAAAATATCTCGCATGAATATACACTTTTCCCTTTTGTTCCTACTTCTACTACTCTAGGTGAAACCCTCATTCTCTACCACTGTAGAAGCCTCACCAGTTTCTCTACTTTCAGTCTTGTTGACTCTATTTAATCTTTCATAGCACAGCTGTTGTGATCTTTAAAAAATACGAAACTGATCCTATTATTCCCTTGCTAAACAAACATTAATGGCATCTCAAAACTACAGGGAAAGCATCTTCTCTGATCCATTCTTTCAGCCTCATCTCCTTCCACTTAATTTCCACACATGTGCCCTCTAATCACACTAACCTTCTTAAGATATCCTGAATAGGCCATGCTCAGTCATACACTTATGCCTTCACACATTTTATTCTCTTTGCTTGGAATGTCTTTCTATTCTCTCTGACTGGTAAGCTCCTATTTATCCATTAGTCTAATTCATAAGTCAGTTCCTTTGTGAAGATATCTCTGACTTCCTAAGGCAGGGGTAGTCAATTTGTGCTCTATGTTCTGTATATTGCACTATTGTTGCTTTCATTTAAACATCTCTGGCTCCCCCAGTAAACTTAAGGTTAGGGACTGGTTCTGGGGTGGAATAATCTTTATATCCCCAACCCCTTGCAAAGCACTTGGTACAAAGCAGGTATTCTGAAAATATTTGTCAATGATCAATCCTTCAACAATATAGTCTTGCTATTGAGCCTGTCAGCAAAGTGACACTGCAAATGAATAGAAACCTTATAAACACATGGATTCAGATACCCACAGTGATGGATCTTGGTTTTAATTCAAGACCCCTTTTTGCACAGATAAAGGGGTAATGTTTTCTCCCATTAGACAAATTCATTTTGAGTTGAGAAGAATTTTGAAATATATAAAATATAATATTAGTCTTTCTCTTCAAATTTACAAACAAATAGGAAGCCGAAGATGAAAACTCACTTCTTTAAGTAAATTACTTTTAGTTTTTGGGTGAAAAGGGACTTGATTTTTATTTAAAATTATGGTTACTACACATACACTTATCACTAAGTAAAAACACTTTGAAAGTTCATATTCGTGTCTTTTTAAAATAATTATATATGTTTTAGCAAAGGAAAAATTCCTAGAATAAGTTGGTCATTTTTGTTAACATAAAACACCATCATTCTCTTTTTAAATACAGTCTGGCAAAAAATAACTCAGCAATATTCATGACTAGCCAACTGAATAGTAAATGACATGTCTCCCAATGACCTCACAAGTATCTACTTCAATTAGCTCTGGCAAATTTTAAGAAACCATTACTTAGTTTCCTTATGTAGATGCAAAATTAATCTGAAGGGTAAAAAAGTGAGTCATTGCTTTAAATTGTACTATTATGTACCTTCTAAAATGAAGCCTAAATCTACTGCTGAGTTGAATAACTTGCATTAAGGCTACAGCAAACAACAAGAAAGCACTTTTCCAAGAAAAATGTCAGGGATGTAGTTAATAATCTGAGATGGAGGGTCAGTCTCAATGACCTCTAATTTCCCTTTCAATGCCAATATTTTATGGTTCTAGGAAATCACGTCTTCCTAACCTGTGATTTGAATATATTTACTTTAAACAAAATCTGCCTTACCATGAAGCACATTTGTTAATCAAATCACATTTTCAATGCCTTTCATTACAAAACCAGAAATGGCTTCTCTAATAGGAAGAATTGGGACCAAATGACAAATTTTAAAACACACACTTAATAATGCAGGAACTCATTTAAAATGACAGAGTTACAGGGGAAAAACAGGTCATTTTCTGATAAGTATTAATAACAATTCTCAGTACAAATCAAAAAGTACAAAGAGTACCCTGTGTTGAAAAAATGAGCGTGAGATCAGAAATTAAGTATCTCTAGTAAACATCCTTTTGAAACAAAAAGCTATTGGTCTCTTTTTATGTAATCAAGGATTTTTGAGCTGTTTATAATTTAAGCTACAATCCCTTTTAATACAATGAGGATGAAGTTTTCCTTAAAAATCATTCCTTAACTTATGATTTCTTTCACGGCCAATTTCCCCACATGGTGGCTTTCTCTCAGGTATAGAAAACCTCAAACAAGGCTTTGAGAGGAATATAACATAGTTAGTGGAGGTTACTGGCTCTGTTATCAGTTAGTCTTGGGGATTCAGATCCCTCATGACCTTAGACAAGCTCCTTAAAGTAACCAAAACTGTTTCACCAGCTATAAAATGGATTGTAATAAGGATTACATGAAACAACTGTTTTCAAATAATGTGATCAATAATTATTATTATTAGGGTGAACACCAAAAATGATCATTAACATTTGGACTGCTTGAAACTGTTAACAGGTAGAGTTCTTTCAATTAAAAATATTCATTAAAAAAACTTTTCCATACAACTTTGTTTCTTGTTCTTACATAAAGAGATAAACAGAAAAGGACAGAGACTTTTATTTTTATCATACTTTAAGTTCTGGGATACATGTGCAGAATGTGCAGGTGTGTTACATAGGTATACATGTGCCATAGGTATACATGTACAATGGTATACATTTGCTGCACCCATCAACCCATCATCTAGGTTTTAAGCCCCGCATGCATTAGGTATTTGTCCTAATGCTCTCTCTCCTCTTGCCCTCCACCCCCCAACAGGCCCTGGTGTGTGATGTTCCCCTCCCTGTGTCCATGTGTTCTCAGTGTTCAACTCCCACTTATGAGTGAGAACATGTGGTGTTTGGTTTTCTGTTCTTTGTTAGTTTTCTGAGAATGATGGTTTCCAGCTTCATCCATGTCCCGGCAAAGGACAAGAACTCATTCTTTTTTATGGCTGCATAGTATTCCATGGTGTATATGAAGGGCAGAGACTTTTAAAGGTCACAAATGCCATCCAATGAGAGTTGCTAGAGATTTTAGCTGTCCACTTAGATTTACGAACTTAATTTTACTCTATGATTAATTTTTTACTATAGGAAGGGGCAATATGGCCTTCCCATTTCACTTAACAAAAATAGGAAACACAATGAAAATCAGTGGTTTAAGTTATAACCAATAAAAGCTGATTAATTCACAGAACGAGTAGTTATTAATCCAGTGTTTATTATGTGCAAAGTCCAAGGCAAATTCACCCCAAAGAGGACTCAAATGAGAAAAATGTCCTGTTTGCCCTCAAGGAGCTTATAGTGTAGTAATCTGTGAGATAAAAAAACACAACTTTAGTGCAGGGCCTAATGTGCTGAGTGCAAATAGATTAGCACAAAGTGTGATAAATTTTTCCTAATGTCTTGAAACATTTTCTGGATGTAGCAAAGATTCTTCAGTCATTTAAAATATTAATCCATGTATCTTAACTAAAGATTCAGAATCTTTCTACCTCTTACTCATTTGCAACAAAAACAGCTGAGGTCTGTCTTTAGTTTTCCATGCAAATTGGGAAGGGCAGAATGTTCTCACATAAGGTAAGGTCTCACTTTTTGTTATGGTTTTAACTGGTTTCCCACAACGTTCTATTGTTTCATCTTATTATTTCTACAGAGAGCCAAATGGGCTGTCAATTTTCTGGCAGGTTCAGTCTGCCTCTTTGAATGAAACTAGGCAGATTAACAGGTTTCTACCTCTCTAAATCAGGAGTCCCCAACTCCCAGGCCACAGAAGAGTACAGATGTATGTCTTGTTAGAAACTGGGCCAGGCAGCAGGAAGTGAGCAGCGGGGGAGTGAGTTCCGCCTCCTGTCAGATTAGTGGCGGCATTAGATTCTCATAGGAGCAAGAACCCTATTGTGAACTACACATGTGAGCGATCTAGGTTGCACACTTCTTATGAGAATCTAATATCTGATGATCTGAGGTGGAACAGTTTCATCCTGAATCCATTCCCCCCATCCCCCGCCACCGTCCATGGAAAAATTGTCTTCCAGGAAACCAGTCCTTGGTGCCAAAAAGGTTGGAGATCACTGCTCTAAGTGATGTAATTAAGGTGGTGATTTGTGGTGGTAAGAACAAGGACAGTATTGGAAACCTGGGTTCGAGTATTGGTTCTATTACTAACAAGCTATGTGACCTTAAAAGACATTTCCCTCTCTATGCCTTCATTTCCTCATCTATCCTTTTTTTGGTGTGATGAGAACATTTAAGATCTATGTTCTCAGCAATTATCAAGTATATATCATTAACTATAGTCACCATGCTATACGTTAGACCTCTAGAACTTATTCATCCTGTTAAATTAAAATTTTGCACGGTTTGACCAACATCTCCCAAGTCCTTCACTCCCCCCAGCTCCCGGGAACTATCATTCTACTCTCTGCTTGTATGAGTTCCACTTTTCTAGATTCCACATATAACTGAGATCATGCAGTATTTGTATTTCTGTGCCTGGCTTATTTCACTTTGTATAATGTCCTCCAGGTTCATCCATGTTGTTGCAAATGACAGAATTTCTTTTTAAGGTTGAATAATGTTTCATTTTATATATATATATACACACACACACACACACACACACACACACACACACAATCGATGGACACTTAGGTTGATTCCATATCTTGGCTATTGTGAATAATGTTACAATGAACGTGGGAGTGCAGATATCTCTTCAACATACTGATTTCATTTCCTTTGGCTATAATCCCGTGAGTGGGATTGCTGGATCATATGGTAATTCCATTTTTAAGTTTTTGAGGAACCTTCATACCATTGTCAATAATGGCTGTACTAATTTACATTCCGACCAAAAGCATGCAAGTGTTTCCTTTTCTGCACATCCTCACCAACACTTGTTATAGTTCATCTTTTTGATAATATCCATCCTAACAGGTATGAGGTGATAGTTTATTGTGTTTTCTTTTAAATTTAATTTAATTTTGTCTTATGTTCTGGGATACATGTGCAGGACATGCAGGTTTGTTACACAGGTAAACATGTGCCAAGGTGGTTTGCTGCACCTGTCAACCCATCAACTAGGTATTAAGCCTGGCATGCATTAGCTACTTATCCTGATGCTCTCCATCTCCCTGGAGATGACAGGCCCCAGTGTGTGTTGTTTCCCTCCCTGTGTCCATGGTCATTGTGATTTTAATTTGCATTACATTTGATGATTAGTGATGTTGACCATTTTTTCATATACCTGTTGGCCATTTGTATGTCTTCTTTTGAGAAATATCTATGCAGGTCTTTTTCTCATTTTTAAATTGGCCTGTTTTCATCCTATTGAGTTCTTTGTGTTCCTCACAAATTTTAGATATTAACCCCTTATCAGATGTATGTATGTATGGTCTGTAAATATTGTTGGGGTCTGTTGTTATCCAGAGTGATGGTATTCTTTAATAAATTGGGATTGTGATAATCCTAAACGAAGCTTGCAGATTCTTAGCTAAAGACTTTTAGTTATATCATCTGGATGAAATATTCAAGGTTCTTGTAATCACCTCTTCTAACTTCACTCTCTCTTTACAAAATGATAAAATTTCCACTAGCTTAGAGGTGGGGTTTCCGGATAGCATAGTACAAGAGGGAACAAGAAGATGGTGATGATAAATAGTGTTGAAGATGTCTAGGGAATTTAGGAAGTAAATTGATATAGTCCAGCTTCCTCATTCTACAGTTTAGGAAAGAGAGCCTGACAATGGAGATAAATTAAGATAAGAATAACAACAGCTAGCATTTACAAGTTGCCGACTGTGTGCCAGGCACTGTCCTAAGTGCTTGACATGCATTATCTCATTTAATACCCACAATAATACTCTAGAGTAGGTACTATTATACCCATTTTACAGATGAGAAAACTGGAACACAGGGAGGTTAACTTGCTCAAGGTCACATAATTAGAGGGTAATAGAAACTAAATAATGCAAAAAAAATCTCTCTGGCATATTTTTCCTTCTTTTTTTATGTTTCATGTCTCTTTTATTTATTTTATTTTTTTTTATTATTATACTTTAAGTTTTAGGGTACATGTGCACAATGTGCAGGTTAATTACAAATGTATACATCTGCCATGCTGGTGTGCTGCACCCATTAACTCGTCATTTAGCATTAGGTATATCTCCTAAAGCTATACCTCCCCCCTCCCCCCACCCCACAACAGTCCCCACAGTGTGATGTTCCCCTTCCTGTGTCCATGTGTTCTCTTTGTTCAATTCCCACCTATGAGTGAGAATATGTGGTATCTGGTTTTTTGTTCTTGCAATAGTTTACTGAGAATGATGATTTCCAATTTCATCCATGTCCCTACAAAGGACATGAACTCATCATTTTTTATGGCTGCATAGTATTCCATGGTGTATATGTGCCTCATTTTCTTAATCCAGTTTATCATTGTTGGACATTTGGGTTGGTTCCGAGTCTTTGCTATTGTGAATAGTGCTGCAATAAACATACGTGTGCATGTGTCTTTATAGCAGCATGATTTATAGTCCTTTGGGTATATACCCAGTAATGGGATGGCTGGGTCAAATGGTATTTCTAGTTCTAGATACCTGAGAAATCACCACACTGACTTCCACAAGGGTTGAACTAGTTTACAGTCCCACCAACTGTGTAAAAGTGTTCCTATTTCTCCACATCCTCTCCAGCACCTGTTGTTTCCTGACTTTTTAATGATTGCCATTCTAACTGGTGTGAGACGGTATCTCATTGTGGTTTTGATTTGCATTTCTCTGATGGCCAGTGATGGTGACCATTTTTTTCATGTGTTTTTTGTCTGCATAAATGTCTTCTTTTGAGAAGTGTCTGTTCATGTCCTTCGCCCACTTTTTGATGGGGTTGTTTGTTTATTCTTGTAAATTTGTTAGAGTTCATTGTAGATTCTGGATATTAGCCCTTTGTCAGATGAGTAGGTTGCAAAAATTTTCTCCCATTCTGTAGGTTGCCTGTTCACTCTGATGGTAGTTTCTTTTGCTGTGCAGAAGCTCTTTAGTTTAATTAGATCCCATTTGTCAATTTTGGCTTTTGATGCCATTGCTTTTGGTGTTTTAGACATGAAGTCCTTGTCCATGCCTATGTCCTGAATGGAATTGCCTAGGTTTTCTTCTAGGGTTTTTATGGTTTTAGGTCTAACGTTTAAGTCTTTAATCCATCTTGAATTAATATTTGTATAAGGTGTAAGGAAGGGATCCAGTTTCAGCTTTCTACATCTGGCTAGCCAGTATTCCCAGCACCATTTATTAAATAGGGAATCATTTCCCCATTGTTTGTTTTTCTCAGGTTTGTCAAAGATCAGATAGTTGTAGATATGCAGAGTTATTTCTGAGGGCTCTGCTCTGTTCCATTGGTCTATATCTCTGTTTTGGTACCAGTACCATGCTGTTTTGGTTACTGTAGCCACCCTGTGTGAGCAGAAACAGGGCGAGGCATTGCCGCACTCAGGAAGTGCAAGGGGTCAGGGAGTTCCCTTTCCTAGTCAAAGAAAGGGGTGACAGACGGCACCTGGAAAATCGGGTCACTCCCACCTGAATACTGCACTTTTCCGATGGGCTTAAAAAATGGCACACCAGGGGATTATATCCCGCACCTGACTCGGAGGGTCCTACACCCATGGAGTCTCACTGATTGCTAGCACAGCAGTCTGATATCAAACTGCAAGGTGGCAGCGAGGCTGGGGGAGGGGAGCCCACCATTGCCCAGGCTTGCTTAGGTAAACAAAGCAGCTGGGAAGGTCGAACTGGGTGAAGCCCACCACAGCTCAAGGAGGCCTGCCTGCCTCTGTAGGCTCCACCTCTGGGGGCAGGGCACAGACAAACACAAAGACAGCAGTAACCTCTGCAGACTTAAATGTCCCTGTTTGACAGCTTTGAAGAGAGCAGTGGTTCTCTCAGCATGCAGCTTGAGATCTGAGAATGGGCAGACTGCCTCCTCAAGTGGGTCCCTGACCCCTGACCCCCGAGCAGCCTAACTGGGAGGCACCCCCCAGTAGGGGCAAACTGACACCTCACACGGCCGGGTACTCCTCTGAGACAAAACTTACAGAGGAACCATCAGACAGCAGCATTTGTGTTCATGAAAATCAGCTGTTCTGCAGCCACCGCTGCTGGTACCCAGGCAAACAGGGTCTGGAGTGGACCTCTAGCAAACACCAACAGACCTGCAGCTGAGGGTCCTGTCTGTTACAAGGAAAACTAACAAACAGAAAGGACATCCACACCAAAAACCCATCTGTACATCACCATCATCAAAGACCAAAAGTAGATAAAACCACAAAGGTGGGGAAAAAACAGAGCAGAAAAACTGGAAACTCTAAAAAGCAAAGCGCCTCTCCTCCTCCAAAGGAATGCAGCTCCTCACCAGCAATGGAAAAAAGCTGGACGGAGAATGACTGACGAGTTGAGAGAAGAAGGCTTCAGACGATCAAACTACTCTGAGCTACAGGAGGAAATTCAAACCAAAGGCAAAGAAGTTGAAAACTTTGAAAAAAATTTAGAAGAATGTATAACTAGAATAACCAATACAGAGAAGTGCTTAAAGGACCTGATGGAGCTGAAAGCCAAGGCTCAAGAACTACGTGAAGAATGCAGAAGCCTCAGGAGCCGACGTGATCAACTGGAAGAAAGCGTATCAGTGATGGAAGATGAAATGAATAAAATGAAGCAAGAAGGGAAGTTTAGAGAAAAAAGAATAAAAAGAAATGAACAAAGCCTCCAAGAAATATGGGACTATGTGAAAAGACCAAATCTACGTCTGATTGGTGTACCTGAAAGTGACGGGGAGAATGGAACCAAGTTGGAAAACACTCTGCAGGATATTATCCAGGAGAACTTCCCCAATCTAGCAAGGCAGGCCAACATTCAGATTCAGGAAATACAGAGAACGCCACAAAGATACTCCTTGAGAAGAGCAACTCCAAGACACATAATTGTCAGATTCACCAAAGTTGAAATGGAGGAAAAAATGTTAAGGGCAGCCAGCGAGAAAGGTCAGGTTACCCACAAACGGAAGCCCATCAGACTAACAGCGGATCTCTCGGCAGAAACTCTACAAGCCAGAAGAGAGTGGGGACCAATATTCAACATTCTTAAAGAAAAGAATTTTCAACCCAGAATTTCATATCCAGCCACACTAAGCTTCAAAAGTGAAGGAGAAATCAAATACTTTACAGACAAGCAAATGCTGAGAGATTTTGTCACCACCAGGCCTGCCCTAAAAGAGCTCCTGAAGGAAGCACTAAACATGGAAAGGAACAACCGGTACCAGCCACTGCAAAATCATGCCAAATTGTAAAGACCATCGAGGCTAGGAAGAAACTGCATCAACTAACGAGCAAAATAACCAGCTAACATCATAATGACAGGATCAAATTCACACATAACAATATTAACTTTAATGTAAATGGACTAAATGCTCCAATTAAAAGACACAGACTGGCAAATTGGATAAAGAATCAAGACCCATTAGTGTGCTGTATTCAGGAAACCCATCTCACATGCAGAGACACACATAGGCTCAAAATAAAAGGATGGAGGAGGATCTACCAAGAAAATGGAAAACAAACAAAGGCAGGGGTTGCAATCCTAGTCTCTGATAAAACAGACTTTAAACCAACAAAGATCAAAAGAGACAAAGAAGGCCATTACATAATGGTAAAGGGATCAATTCAACAAGAAGAGCTAACTATCCTAAATATATATGCACCCAATACAGGAGCACCCAGATTCATAAAGCAAGTCCTCAGTGACCTACAAAGAGACTTAGACTCCCACACATTAATAATGGGAGACTTTAACACCCCACTGTCAACATTAGACAGATCAACGAGACAGAAAGTTAACAAGGATACTCAGGAATTGAACTCAGCTCTGCACCAAGTGGACCTAATAGACAACTACAGAACTCTCCACCCCAAATCAACAGAATATATATTTTTTTCAGCACCACACCACACCTATTCCAAAATTGACCACATATTTGGAAGTAAAGCTCTCCTCAGCAAATGTAAAAGATCAGAAATTATAACAAACTATCTCTCAGACCACAGTGCAATCAAACTAGAACTCAGGATTAAGAAACTCACTCAAAACCGCTCAACAACGTGGAAACTGAACAACCTGTTCCTGAGTGACTACTGGGTACATAACGAAATGAAGGCAGAAATACAGATGTTCTTTGAAGCCAATGAGAACAAAGACACAACATACCAGAATCTCTGGGACACATTCAAAGCAGTGTGTAGAGGGAAATTTATAGCACTGAAGGCCCACAAGAGAAAGCAGGAAAGATCCAAAATTGACACCCTAACATCACAATTAAAAGAACTAGAAAAGCAAGAGCAAACACATTTGAAAGCTAGCAGAAGGCAAGAAATAACTAAAATCAGAGCAGAACTGAAGGAAATAGAGACACAAAAAACCCTTCAAAAAATTAATGAATCCAGGAGCTGGTGTTTTTAAAGGATCAACAAAATTGATAGACCACTAGCAAGACTAATAAAGAAGAAAAGAGAGAAGAATCAAATAGACGCAAGAAAAAATGATAAAGGGGATATCACAACCGATCGCACAGAAATATAAACTACCATCAGAGAATACTACAAACACCTCTATGCAAATAAACTAGAAAATCTAGAAGAAATGGATAAATTCCTCGACACATACACTCTCCCAAGACTAAACCAGGAAGAAGTTGACTCTCTGAATAGACCAATAACAGGCTCTGAAATTGTGGCAATAATCAATAGCTTACCAACCAAAAAGAGTCCAGGAGCAGATGGATTCACAGCTGAATTCTACCAGAGGTACAAGGAGGAACTGGTACCATTCCTTCTGAAACTATTCCAATCAATAGAAAAAGAGGGAATCCTCCCGAACTCATTTTATGAGGCCAGCATCATCCTGATACCAAAGCCTGGCAGAGACACAACAAAAAAAGAGAATTTTAGACCAATATCCTTGATGAACATTGATGCAAAAATCCTCAGTAAAATACTGGCAAACCGAATCCAGCAGCACATCAAAAAGCTTATCCATCATGATCAAGTGGGCTTCATCCCTGGGATGCAAGGCTGGTTCAATATACGCAAATCAATAAATGTAATCCAGCATATAAACAGAGCCAAAGACAAAAACCACATGATTATCTTAATACATGCAGAAAAGGCCTTTGACCAAATTCAACAGCCTTTCATGCTAAAAACTCTCAATAAATTAGGTATTGATGGGACGTATCTGAAAATAATAAGAGCTATCTATGACAAACCCACAGCCAATATCAGACTGAATGGGCAAAAACTGGAAGCATTCCCTTTGAAAACTGGCACAAGACAGGGATGCCCTCTCTCACCACTCCATTCAACATAGTGTTGGAAGTTCTGGCCAGGGCAATGAGGCAGGAGAAGGAAATAAAGGGTATTCAATTAGGAAAAGAGGAAGTCAAATTGTCCCCGTTTGCAGATGACATGATTGTATATCTAGAACACCCCATTGTCTCAGCCCAAAATCTCCTTAAGCTGATAAGCAACTTCAGCAAAGTCTCAGGATACAAAATCAATGTACAAAAATCACAAGCATTCTTATACACCAACAACAGACAAACAGAGAGCCAAATCAGGAGTGAACTCCCATTCACAATTTCTTCAAAGAGAATAAAATACCTAGGAATCCAACTTACAAGGGACGTGAAGGAACTCTTCAAGGAGAACTACAAAGAACTGCTCAATGAAATAAAAGAGGATACAAACAAATGGAAGACCATTCCATGCTCATAGGTAGGAAGAATCAATATCATGAAAATGGCCATACTGCCCAAGGTAATTTATAGATTCAATGCCATCCCCATCAAGCTACCAATGACTTTCTTCACAGAATTGGAAAAAACTACTTTAAAGTTCATATGGAACCAAAAAAGAGACCACATTGCCAAGTCAATCCTAAGCCAAAAGAACAAAGCTGGAGGCATCACGCTACCTGACTTCAAACTATACTACAAGGCATATTTTTCCTTCTGAAAACCATACTGCCTACTAAAAGCAATTTAAACTTTTAAATATGACATTTAAGACCTTCCATGATCTGATACCAGCCTATCTCTCAGCGTTGTTTCTTACAATTCATATTCATGTATCTTGCACTCCAGAAAACAGTTTGCCTAATATGCCACATGCTTTCCTCATGTGTTGCCTTGGCTGTGATACCTTCTGTTTCTGCTCTTGCCATCTCTACAAGTCCAAATGTTGCCCATTCTTTAAGATCCAGTTCAAATGTCATTCTGTTCACTTAGAAGAATCTTCAACCTCCTCTGTGCATCTGAAGCTCTTCAAACTGACCTCCTGCCCAGGAATGGCTTTTATTCTGGTTTAGCTGGGGAGAGGGGATGGTAAGAGAACCTATGCGCTTGTCAGTTTCCTAGATCCCTGCCTGCCTTATAAGCTTGTCATAAGGATGCAATGAGAAAATGGATATAAAAGGGTTTTTGAACTGTAGAGCACTGTAATGGTCATCATTGCATTTGGAGTATCTCTTTATTTTTCCAGGTTTGGGAAACCATAGTCTTTTCAGGGTGTGCCTATTTTAAGGAGGGCAAAGTTCCATTTCTGATCTATATTTTTGAAAATGTCAAAAGTTGAATAAGAAAAAGGGCAAGTAATAAAAGGTAACATGGAGAAATACAAATATTGACTTTTATTAGATGATGAGAATGTGGACAATTATGGTATTACATTTCTGTTGCTTTTATAATAGAGGAACATGAAAAGATGAGAAAAGCAAGGATAGCTGCTTGGAATTAATTGTGTATGCTCATAGCTTTTGTTCGATTTGCAAAATCTGTGTTCATTTAAAAGCCCTAAGAGCAGGCTTACGCTCTTTACTGATAGAATGATAGGGCCATAGTGCTATAAAATGAAGGGTGGCTACAGGCCCAGGTTTTATTTATGTCTATATGTGCATGTATAAAACCCACCTCCATGCTAAAGGATGACACTCAAAAGCCTTTAAAGAGACAGTGACATCTGCTATGGGGGAGTCACACTGGGGACAACTTGATTGACCATTTTTGGCATATGCTGGTCTAAATACCTCATCTATTGGCTAACAATCTTTTCTGAATTAGGTCCAACTCTCAGCAGGCACATTTCCATCTGGTTAAGTTTAGAACTCAAGCTGTTTTTAAAAACGACCTTACAACAATACTAGCCTAGGCAAAAGGTTCTTATGTATATCACCCCTGCCCTTCTCTAAAATACATTTTCATTTCTCTTTGTTTTAAACCAGGGGTGAGTGACATGGTTGTTGGGGCTCTTGGAGCCTGGATTTTGATGAAGAGCAAGACTGTTTTTTTTAAAAAAAACAAAACAAAACAAAACACAAAAGGAGATAGGGAGAAAGAAAATGTGTACTCCTGGAAAAAAAAAAAGACTAGAGTGCTTGCATGGTAAAACAGGAAGCTGATATGTTGGATGCCTGCATTCTCTCAGTTGAGGGAGGTAACCCTGATGAACAGCTGCTTAGTGTAGACAGAACCTTCTGCTACATGGATCTCTCATTGTTTCTACATCATGCACTAGCCTTTGGGACAGTGCCTCATATTATCAACTCTCACAGATGATTAGAAGAGAGGTGACAAAAAGCAAAGCTATGTGGTGTATAACATGTACCAGCAGGACAGTAAATCAAAAGCCTGAGGGCTTTGTCTTGTAATTTCCTCAATAATAATGCTGCTCACCTTTCCTTACCACTCTCTGCTTCTCACTTCTGGGTATAAGTTCCCATAGGAGAGTTGACTGGTTTAGGGATGGAAAGAGAAGGGCAAGTTAGAGGATTGAGAGATATGGTTAGTATTTCTTCAGAATGTGTTTACAGCCCTGATATTAACATAGAAGCCTGAGGTAGAGCCTCTCATATCCAGGTGCTCTGTGATTCTGTCATAGGACTGGGGTTTAGCAGGTTTCCTAGTTGTTAAAACTTTGTGTAAAAATACTTTTCACGTAACTCCTAGTCTGGATCAACTTCAGAAAGCAATGTTTGGATCCCTGATGAATATCGATGCAAAAATCCTCAATAAAATACTGGCAAACCGAATCCAGCAGCACATCAAAAAGCTTATCCACCATGATCAAGTGGGCTTCATCCCTGGGAAGCAAGGCTGGTTCAACATACGCAAATCAGTCTATGTAATCCAGCATATAAACAGAACCAAAGACAAAAACCACATGATTATCTCAATAGATGCAGAAAAGGCCTTTGACAAAATTCAACAGTCTTTCATGCTAAAAACTCTCAATAAACTTGGTATTGATGGGACATATCACAAAATAATAGGAGCTATTTATAACAAAACCACAGCTAATATCATACTGAATGGGCAAAAACTGGAAGCATTCCCTTTGAAAACTGGCACAAGACAGGGATACCCTCTCTCACCACTCCTATTCAACATAGTGTTGGAAGTTCTGGCCAGGGCAATCAGGCAGGAGAAGGAAATAAAGGGCATTCAATTAGGAAAAGAGGAAGTCAAATTGTCCCTGTTTGCAGATGACATGATTGTATATCTAGAAAACCTCATGGTCTCAGCCCAAAATATCCTTAAGCTGATAAGCAACTTCAGCAAAGTCTCAAGATACAAAATCAATGTACAAAAATCACAAGCATTCCTATACACCAATAACAGACAAACAGAGAGCCAAATCATGAGTGAACTCCCATTCACAGTTGCTTCAAAGAGAATAAAATACCTAGGAATCCAATTTACAAGGGATGTGAAGGATGTCTTCAAGGAGAACTACAAACCACTGCTTAATGAAATAAAAGAGGATACAAACAAATGGAAGACGATTCCATGCTCATGGGTAGGAAGAATCAATATCGTGAAAATGGCCATACTACCCAAGGTAATTTGTGGATTCAATGCCGTCCCCATCAAGCTACCAATGACTTTCTTCACAGAATTGGAAAAAACTACTTTAAAGTTCATATGGAACCAAAAAAGAGCCCGCATCACCAAGTCAATCCTAAGCCAAAAGAACAAAGCTGGAGGCATCACACTACCTGACTTCAAACTATACTACAAGGCTACAGTAACCAAAACAGCATGGTACTGGTACCAAAACAGAGATATAGATCAATGGAACAGAACAGACCCCTCAGAAATAATGCCGCATATCTACAACTATCTGATCTTTGACAAACCTGACAAAAACAAGCAATGGAGAAAGGATTCCCTATTTAATAAATGGTGCTGGGAAAACTGGCTAGCCAGATGTAGAAAGCTGAAACTGGATCCCTTCCTAACACCTTATACTAAAATTAATTCAAGATGGATTAAAGACTTAAATGTTAGACCTAAGACCATAAAAACCCTAGAAGACAACCTAGGCATTACCATTCAGGACATAGGCATGGGCAAGGACTTCATGTCTAAAACACTAAAAGCAATGGCAACAAAAGCCAAAATTGACAAATGGGATCTAATTCAACTAAAGAGCTTCTGCACAGCAAAAGAAACTACCATCAGAGTGAACAGGCAACCTACAGAATGGGAGAAAATTTTTGCAACCTACTCATCTGACAAAGGGCTAATATCCAGAATCTACAATGAACTCTAACAAATTTACAAAAAAAACCAAACAACCACATCAAAAAGTGGGCAAAGGATATGAACAGACATTTCTCAAAAGAAGACATTTATGCAGCCAACAGACACATGAAAAAATGCTCATCATCTCTGGCCATCAGAGAAATGCAAATCAAAACCACAATGAGATACCATCTCACACCAGTTAAAATGGCAATCATTAAAAGTCAGGAAACAACAGGTGCTGGAGAGGATGTGGAGAAATAGGAACACTTTTACACTGTTGGTGGGACTGTAAACTGGTTCAACCATTGTGGCAGTCAGTTTGGCAATTCCTCAGGTATCTAGAACTAGAAATACCACTTGACCCAGCCATCCCATTACTGGGTATGTACCCAAAGGACTATAAATCATGCTGCTATAAAGGCACATGCACACATATGTTTATTGCAGCACTATTCACAATAGCAAAGACTTGGAACCAACCCAAATGTCCAACAATGATAGACTGGTTTAAGAAAATGTGGCACATATACACCATGGAATACTATGTAGCCATGAAAAAGGATGAATTCATGTCCTTTGCAGGGACGTGGATGAAGCTGGAAACCATCATTCTCAGAAAACTATCACAAGGACAGAAAACCAAACACCACATGTTCTCACTCATAGGTGGGAATTGAACAATGAGATCACTTGGACACAGGGCAGGGAACATCACACACCGGGGCCTGTTGCGGGGTGAGGGCTGGAGGGGGGATAGCATTAGGAGAAATACCTAATATAAATGACCAGTTGATGGGTGCAGCATACCAACATGGCACATGTATACATATGTAACAAAGCTGCACGTTGTGCACATGTACCCTAAAACTTAAAGTATAATTTAAAAAAATTGGAAAAAGAAAAAAAAGAAAGCAATGTTTGGGATGGTGTCAGAAGTCTAGGGGTGTCCAGTTCTTTTTTCAGTTAAACATTTTTAATTTTGAAATAAGTTAAGACTCATAAGAAGTTGCAAAACAGTAGAGAGTTCCTGTGTACCCCTCATCCAGATTTCCCCAGTAGAAACATCTTATGTAACCATAGAACATTATGAAAACCAGGAAATTAACATTGGTACAATGCTATTAGCCAAACTCTAGATCTGATTCAGATGTTATTAAGTTTTATATGCATTCATTTTTGGAGGTATTTCAAATGAAATTTCATCACTTGTAACTACCATCACCATCAGGGTACAAAACTGTTCCATTACCAGAAAGAAGCTTCCTCATGCTAACCTTTTATTAAAAATGAGTCACACTAGGGGTGCTTAAGATTAACTAAGTTTAAACCTATCCGAAGTGGCCCCTAACAGGAAATACTTTCCTGAAGCCTTTCTTCCAGCTTAAACCATCATGCGTGACCTCCAGAGGAACACTATTTTCATATTAAATCTCTGGCATGAGTGTGAATAATTTCCTTATTGCTTGGTTTCCCGTAGCACAGCTGTAAAAGGTTGAAATTTTTTTAAGACTTGAAAAAATGTGAATGAAGAACACAAAGAAAATAAAGAAGTACAAGACACATACAAGAAAACCAAGCTTCCAAATATTTTTTTTTGCCAATTCCACACTAGTTAACTTGCTTATAGGACTCTTAAGCCATGTCCCATGCCTTATTCTGCCTCCTTAGCTACTTGTGCTTCAGCCCCCAGGTACTGGCCAATACAACTTCCCAGGCACCTTGACTTACCCATTCTCCAAGTCTCCATATGACAGGAATCAATGTATTTCCTATTACTTATAAGACAGCTATTCCTTCCTTTTGCTTCTTCCATCAAGTACCCACACCTCTAACCCTATATGGCCATCCATTCAGTGATGACTTCCCATCTGACATTTTATCCATAATTGATTGGTGACTGACACAACTAATATTCTCATCTTTTAGGTGAGACTCTCACAGTAGTAATACAGTAGTAATATAGTAATATAGTAGTTACATAAAGTCTTGTTAAGGTCTTTTCATTATAGACTCCCATAAAGTAACCGCTTAGCCTTGTTATCACACGTTTATCTCTAAGAGGGTCTCTATAAATCTGAACTCATCAGAGAAAGGGACTATATTAGTTTTTTAGGGCAATGTAATAAATCATCACAAACTTAGCTGCTGAAAAAAAACAACAATTTATTACCTCACAGTTCTATGGAAGTTGAGGAATGCTATAGCTGCATTTTTCTGCTCAGGGGTTTTACTGAACTAAACTCAGGGTGTTGGCTGAGGTGCATTCCTTTCTGGAAACTCTAAGGAATAAATTAATTCAAACCTCATTCAGGTTGTTGGAGAATTCATTTCCTTCCAGCTGTAGGACAGAGGTCCCTATTTTTCTGCTATTTGTTGGCTAGGGAATGCAATGCTCTCAGCTCCAGAGGCTACCCCTCTCCATTGGCAGTTCACACTGTGGGTGTTTGCTTTATTCCAGGCCTGATGGATAACCTCTCTCTGACTTACTCATCTGCTCCCAGTTGGAGAAAACTCTATTTCTAAAGCACTTATGTGATTAGGACAGGTCCACTAGATAATCTCCCTGTCTTAAAATCATCTGTGCTACATGATATAACCTAATCATAGGAGTAAAATGCATCATCTTCACAGCCCTGGGGATTATTCAGGGAATGCACACAAGGGAAAGGGAAATACTGGGGGACACAACACCTTATATTCTGCCTACAACATGGAACACTGTTTTTCCTTTTTAAACAAATCCCTTCAGTGATTGCTTCTCCATCCAGAATAAAGGCTGGATGAAAAATAGCCTAGGTTCTAAATTGATGTACTAAGAACAGGTAACAAGTAAGACCAGTTATTGATTCCTTCAACCCTTATGAAGATGAGTCAGAGCCTATGGTGACATGAGCCCCTAAGCCCAATGGACTCAAGTTGTGAGCCACCTTGGTCACATATCCCAGAAATCTGTGCAAATACTAGAACTTTCTATCTATGCTTGATATGAAAAAGTTCAGGAACATAACTTTAGTGCTTCAGGAAAATGAAAACAAGCTATTCAGGCCAATGTGAAATGTGCTTAGAACTCAGATCTGATGTCATTCTATTCTGACAAGGTCACTGTGATATTTAATGGTGCCTTGAATGTGCAAAGTGCTATTTAGAATACATACAGACACGCTACTCAAAATTTACGTGTGGAATGGGCTTTATATTTCAGTTGAAATGGATTTTTCTCTATATGATTTAAGAGAACAATGCATAAAACAATATTTATAAATCAGTGTTGATGGGCACACATAATGTATAAAATGTAATTTGTGATAACAACATAAATGGGAAGGGAGGAAACTATATAGGAGGAGAGTTCTTGTATATGATTGAAGCGAAGTTGGTATTAATTCAAACTAGATCGTTATAAGTTTAAGATGTTGATTGTAACCACTAAGAAAATAACTAAAAATATACAGAAAAGGAAAAGAGAAAGTACAATACAAAAAGTCAACTGAACACAAAAGAAGGCAGTTATATTGAAATTGAGGAATAAAAAGCATGTAAGACATGCAGGAAACAAATAGCAAAATGGCTGAATTGAAGTCTTCCTTATCAGTATTTTAAATGTAAAGAGACTCTTCAGTTAAAAAGCAGAGATTGGTAGATGAATGAAGAAATATAATCCAACTATTCACTGTCTATAAGACACTCACTCCCCATCATTTTACCCCAAAGCCTCCAAAATTGTCTCAGTGTTTGCAGTCTTAATCTCCTACAAACTATTTCCCAAAATCAGAGTAATCATTCTAAAATAATTCTCATCTAAAAAGTCTCCTTCAGTGGCTTTCTGATGCTTAAAATAAATAAAATCCAAGTACTGTACCATGGCTTATAGGACTCACCAAAGATTTGCCACTAGTTCTTAATATTCACCTCCATCTTTCTCATTCTACACTCCAACCGTAAACTCAACTGCTCGCTCTTTTCCACTCTAATTTTCATTTTTTGGGCTTTGTGTGTGTGATAATTCCTTCTCCATGAGCAATTCTTACTCATGCTTCAGTTAACTGTATCTTTCAGAAAGCCGTCTCTGACCAAGGCCCATTGCTCCCCACTCCTGAACTGTGTCTACCCTGATAATATTGAAATTTCCTGTATTTTTGTCCTTATCTCCCCATTGGGTGTAATTATTATTGGCTATTCTGCTGCCTAATGACCTCTTTGTTTTTATTACTGTTAAGGAAGCCACAAGGACTGTTGTACTACTAGCTAAGTTCCCCACTGGGTGCTCTACACTTGAGTTCATTGTAGACACTTGGGTTCTGAGTAAGTTTTGTTTGAAAACAGCCAACATGATTGTTTCTTTTTAAAAGGCAAGAATCTGACTGGCTTCTTTTAGTTGTACCTTGTTATCTGCCTCTCTAATAAGTAATATATTCTCCTCACTCACCTGCAAATGTCATGTCTATCTTATCTGGCACTGTAATTTCCCATTACCTACAATAGGATCAGATATTTCATAAGTACTTAATTGATATTTTTGAATATCTAAAAATTTGCAGTGTTATCCAGCCAGGATTATTTACTGATGAACTGCTTGATTCCAGAAGGGAAAAGAGTGAAAAAGGGGTCTATGAATGCAAACCTTTAGACTAATATTAATAACTCAGGTGAGATGGGTGGAATCTGGGCATCATCCTATTAAGGAGGAAATTTGAATGCTGAGTGATAAGGTGGAGGAATTAACTTGAACAAAGTCCATAGGTAAGCCTCATCCTTACCTGTGGGAAAAATTGGAGATATGGGTAAAGCACAATTCAGGATATCACAAGTCAAGTTCTACTAACACATGTGTTAGGACCAGGAAACACTGAGAAGGAGACACTGTTGAAGATTCTGTACCTTAATAATTACAAACACAAAAACACATGCTCTTTAGAGACCCATATATGCCTAATGACTTTCATAGTACTCCCTCAAAATGTGTGTTTTAAGCCTTTTAACCTTCCCCAAAAAACACGAAGTAGCAAGGATTATCCATTTGCTTGGCATAGTATCGCCTTGACCAATAAAAGCCCAGTGTTGATGAGCAAGAACTTCTAGACTGGTACTCCAATTTTTCTGACCCAAACTTTATTCAACATTTACTGAATGATACCAAGTATATTCAGTGCAAATATTGCACTGGGTGGTGCTGCACGGGAATCATTCAGTAAGACAATTTCTTAAGGTTACAGTAAAGCAAAGAGTGACACAAATACTTATGTCCACAAGTCCAAAGTGTGAAGGGAGTATACAGTCAGGAAAGATGAATTTAAACTGGGGTTGGATTTGGGAAATATAAGTTTTGTGAAGGGTATAGGATTTTAGTTGAACCTTCTTTGAAGAACGGATAAATCTTTCAGGTAAGGGGGAGTAGAGCACTCTATGCAGAAGTAATAACTTAAACAAGGGGTCAGAGGTAAAAGTAAAAAAAAATTGGGTGATGGTGATAAAATAATGTACATGTAAGATTTGTGCGTTCAAATCTGAAATGGAAGATGATACTGGGCACTCTAAATTGGGGCTTATTTTGGAGGATCTTGGATGCCAGGCTGAGCAGTAAGGATTTTATTAAGAAGTGAGCTCAAGCTTAGATATGTGTTTTAGGAAGATAACTCTGATGGCACTGGGGAAATGGGGAGGGAATGGACTAGAAAAGAATGGACTGGAAAAGGAATGGGGAAGGAATGGCTTGCAAATGAAAATTTTCCATTTGCAAGTAATGAATGGGCCTGGTGATTTCAAGTAATAAGAGCCTAAACTATGGAGGTGCAATGAGAATGAAGCAAACTGGAGATATCTCAGGAGCAAATGTCTGTTCGAATGAATTAGCAAGAGTAAACTAATGGACTTTGACAAAATGTTGTTTTTTGAGGGATTCTGAAGATATTAGTGGGAGACTAGGACAACAGAGTGACTTTAATCAAGATAAAAAAGAAAAGAAGGAGCTGTCTTGTGAATTATTCACATATCTGACACAAAATGTTGCTTTGGGAGTTCCAGATATGTTCTAAGTTGGCCTTCAGGCGATCAGTGGAAGAATAGTAGATGCTAGAGTTTAAAATAAAACAGGCTTCACACTAGAGTAAGTCAGGCACTTCTTAGGTTTCCCTTGAACCTTTCGTCTTAGAGTTGCACACAGAGTTTTTTCCTACAAAGGTCAAATATCATTTTAGAACAGCTTCTTAGTTCAATTTATGATAGTAAAAGTCTGATGACATTTTAAACTTGCAAAAAGTAACAGAGAGAACAAGCTGGAAATAGAATTATATGAAAGAACAAGTAATCCTGAGCCTTATTTGTTCACTGGAGGTAGGGAGGCCAGAAGAATTAAAAGGTAAGAAACTCTACAAGCAACCTTACGCTGAGAATCTATTCACCAAGCACACATTTACTGAATCCCATGAGCAAGGGCCTTACTAGATACTGTCGGAGCTACAAACATGAACGAAATGGTTCTTGCTCTCCAGAAGCTTACAGTTTGGTGTGCCATAGACAAGAAGAAAAAAAAGCCACACACACACAATGATTACAAGCCTGGGTAACTAACTGGAAGGGTGGCTGGTGCCATAATAGAAGTAAGGGGGAAAAAGCACATTTGTTTTTATATTGGACCACCTGCTTTTTGTTGGTCTTTTTGGGTTTATTTTTGGTCAGAATCTATGGTTTATTACATGTGTTAAACATTACACTTTGTTTATTGTAACAACCCTTAAAGCGTGTAAAGGAGTGGAAACGGAGCATTTTGGATGGAAAAATAGAAGATAACTTTATTCTTAAGTCTAGCTGTAGCATTTAATTTTTATATTAAGGAGCTCAATATGTTTTCACATACATTCTCACTCTCATATAATTCCTGTGAAGCACAGGGAGACAGAAATTATCCAGAGTATGCAGCAAGTCATCTCTCCAGGGTCCCTCAACAACAATCAATAGCAGAGCCAGGACTGGAATGTAGGTTTCCTAACTCCCACTTTAAACCCCACTAGTTTAAACGCCACTCCTTCACAAGATAATACTTTTTTAAAAAGTTAAGTAAAATCCTCTACATTAGGAACTGTCAACTCTAATTTGTTTATAACTTTTTTTTTTTTTTTTTTGATGGAGTCTCTCTCTGTCGACCAGGCTGAAGTGCATTGGCGCGATCTTGGCTCTCGGCTCACTGCAACCTCCACCTCCCTGGTTCAAGCAATTCTCCTTTCTCAGCCTCCCGAATAGCTGGGACTACAGGCACACGCCACTACACCTGGCTAATTTTTTTGTATTTTTAGTAGAGACGAGGTTTCACCATATTGGTCAGGCTGGTCTCAAACTCCTGACCTCAGGTGATCCACCCGCCTCAGCCTCCCAAAGTGCTGGGATTACAGGCGTGAGCCACTGTGCCCAGCCTATAACATTTTTATTCATTCCAAATCTTAGTTCCTGAAAACACTAAAAAGAAAGACATTGCATTGGAATTTACTGGAGATGGGCTCTTGAGCCTTGAAAGACTTCATGAAGACTGTAGACTGAGTTCCCAATAAGCTCAACCATTAACAGGGACTTTTGAAAGAAGTCTGAAGTGTATGATATTCCCTGTAAATTCATCAAGGGGTGAGGCAAAAAGTAACCTTGGTATCTACTTTCCCTTAAAAATTAGAGCCCATTTTATACAGGGAAGTATTACATCCAGATGCCTTTGTTAATATTCCTATAAGATTAGTCATTCAAGCAACAAAGTGAGCTCCTATTACATCCTGGGCATGGCATAAATTAGAATTTTACCCTTTCTTATAATAACTGGGCCAGGATACCTATAAAAATAAAGTAATTGGGAACCTATATCTAGGTTACTAGACATTGACCCTTTCTTTAGGCTGTAAGTTCTTGAATGTGGTGTGTGGATAATTATAATTCATTTATGTGTGTGTCTGTGTGTGCGTATACATATACACTTATATATATATATACACATATACATGCTTATAAAAGTACATTTGAAACGTAGTTTCTGATGAAAAGTGATTTTACTGCTATGACACAGGTGGAAAAAGACTGAACTCAACAAAGTTGTACTTCTTCTTGAAAATCTAAAAGTCCCAGTAAGAAAGACCAATAGGGTTACTAGGAGGATACAGTATAACTTTTCCAGTGGTTTTCTCCTATTCTTAAAAGAAGTAGGGGGACACTCTATATCTTAAGATAAAAGCCTAGAATTAGCCTTAAATTACCAAAAACTTCTTTATTATGAATAAATCTTTCCTGCTACTGTAATTGAAGCACGTTTACTCTTTTTCTATATTAATATAAGGAGGCTGTGTAAGAGTATGAGAATACAGGACTCAGAATACGGAGTCCTCATTTCTCCAAGCTCTGTCATAGATTTATTGATTCACTCACTCACTCATTTAGATATGCACACCTCAAATAGGTATTGAGTGTCTACATAGTGTTAGTTACTGTGGATGCAGTGAACAATATTATTCAGGAATCAACCTAAATGCCCATTAACAATAGACTTTAGATAAATCATCTCTCTTCTTGAGCCTGAAATTTCTCATCTATAACAAAAAGTATGGGTCTTTATCTTTTTTTATTTTATTTTATTATTATTATACTTTAAGTTTTAGGGTACATGTGCACAATGTGCAGGTTAGTTACATATGTATACATCTGCCAAGCTGGTGCGCTGCACCCATTAACTCGTCATTTAGCATTAGGTATATCTCCTAAAGCTATCCCTCCCCCCTACCCCCACCCCACAACAGTCCCCAGAGTGTGATGTTCCCCTTCCTGTGTCCATGTGTTCTTATTGTTCAATTCCCACCTATGAGTGAGAACATGCGGTGTTTGGTTTTTTGTCCTTGTGATAGTTTACTGAGAATGATGATTTCCAATTTCATCCATGTCCCTACAAAGGACATGAACTCTTCATTTTTTATGGCTGCGTAGTATTCCATGGTGTATATGTGCCACATTTTCTTAATCCAGTCTATCATTGTTGGACATTTGGGTTGCTTCCAAGTCTTTGCTATTGTGAATAGTGCCGCAATAAACATATGTGTGCATGTGTCTTTATAGCAGCATGATTTATAGTCCTTTGGGTATATACCCAGTAATGGGATGGCTGGGTCAAATGGTATTTCTAGTTCTAGATCCCTGAGGAATCGCCACACTGACTTCCACAAGGGTTGAACTAGTTTAAAGTCCCACCAACAGTGTAAAAGTGCTCCTAGTTCTCCACAACCTCTCCAGCACCTGTTGTTTCCTGACTTTTTAATGATTGCCATTCTAACTGGTGTGAGATGGTATCTCATTGTGGTTTTGATTTGCATTTCTCTGATGGCCAGTGATGGTGACCATTTTTTCATGTGTTTTTTAGCTGCATACATGTCTTCTTTTGAGAAGTGTCTGTTCATATCCTTTGCCCACTTTTTGATGGGGTTGTTTGTTTTTTTCTTGTAAATTTGTTTGAGTTCATTGTAGATTCTGGATATTAGCCCTTTGTCAGATGAGTAGGTTGCAAAAATTTTCTCCCATTCTGTAGGTTGCCTGTTCACTCTGATGGTAGTTTCTTTTGTTGTGCAGAAGCTCTTTAGTTGAATTAGATCCCATTTGTCAATTTTGGCTTTTGTTGCCATTGCTTTTGGTGTTTTAGACATGAAGTCATTGCCCATGCCTATGTCCTGAATGGTAATGCCTAGGTTGTCTTCTAGGGTTTTTATGGCTTTAGGTCTAACGTTTAAGTCTTTAATCCATCTTGAATTAATTTTTGTATATGGTGTAAGGAAGGGATCCAGTTTCAGCTTTCTACATCTGGCTAGCCAATTTTCCCAGCACCATTTATTAAATAGGGAATCCTTTCCCCATTGCTTGTTTTTGTCAGGTTTGTCAAAGATCAGGTAGTTGTAGATATGCAGCGTTATTTCTGAGGGGTCTGTTCTGTTCCATTGATCTATATCTCTGTTTTGGTACCAGTACCATGCTGTTTTGGTTACTGTAGCCTTGTAGTACAGTTTGAAGTCAGGTAGCGTGATACCTCCAGCTTTGGTCTTTTGGCTTAGGATTGACTTGGTGATGTGGGCTCTTTTATGGTTCCATATGAACTTTAAAGTAGTTTTTTCCAATTCTGTGAAGAAAGTCATTGGTAGCTTGATGGGGATGGCATTGAATCTATAAATTACCTTGGGCAGTATGGCCATTTTCACGATATTGATTCTTCCTACCCATGAGCATGGAATGGTCTTCCATTTGTTTGTATCCTCTTCTATTTCATTGAGCAGTGGTTTGTAGTTCTCCTTGAAGAGTTCCTTCACATCCCTTGTAAGTTGGATTCCTAGGTATTTTGTTCTCTTTGAAGCAATTGTGAATGGGAGTTCACTCATGATTTGGCTCTCTGTTTGTCTGTTATTGGTGTATAAGAATGTTTGTGATTTTTGCACATTGATTTTGTATCCTGAGACTTTGCTGAAGTTGCTTATCAGCTTAAGGAGATTTTGGGCTGAGACAATGGGGTTTTCTAGATATACAATCATGTCATCTGCAAACGGGGACAATTTGACTTCCTCTTTTCCTAATTGAATACCCTTTATTTCCTTCTCCTGCCTAGTTTCCCTGGCCAGAACTTCCAACACTATGTTGAATAGGAGTGGTGAGAGAGGGCATCCCTGTCTTGTGCCAGTTTTCAAAGGGAATGCTTCCAGTTTTTGCCTATTCAGTATGATATTGGCTGTGGGTTTGTTATAGATAGCTCTTATTATTTTGAGATATGTCCCATCAATACCTAATTTATTGAGAGTTTTTAGCGTGAATGGTTGTTGAATTTTGTCAAAGGCCTTTTCTGCATCTATTGAGATAATCATGTGGTTTTTGTCTTTCGTTCTGTTCATATGCTGGATTACATTTATTGATTTGCACATATTGAACCAGCCTTGCATCCCAGGGATGAAGCCCACTTGATCATGCTGGATAAGCTTTTTGATGTGCTGCTGGATTCGGTTTGCCAGTATTTTATTGAGGATTTTTGCATCAATGTTCATCAAGGATATTGGTCGAAAATTCTCTTTTTTGGTTGTGTCTCTGCCAGGCTTTGGTATCAGGATGATGCTGGCCTCATAAAATGAGTTCGGGAGGATTCCCTCTTTTTCTATTGATTGGAATAGTTTCAGAAGGGATAGTACCAGTTCCTCCTTTTACCTCTGGTACAATTTGGCTGTGAATCCATCTGGTCCTGGACTCTTTTTGATTCGTAAGCTATTGATTATTGCCACAATTTCAGATCCTGTTTTTGGTCTATTCAAAGAGTCAACTTCTTCCTGGTTTAGGCTTGGGAGGGTGTATGTGTCGAGGAATTCATCCATTTCTTCTAGATTTTCTAGTTTATTTGCATAGAGGTGTTTGTAGTATTCTCTGATGGTAGTTTATATTTCTGTGGAATCGGTTGTGATATCCCCTTTATCATTTTTATTGTGTCTTTTTGATTCTTCTCTCTTTTCTTTATTACTCTTGCTAGCGGTCTATCAATTTTGTTGATCGTTTCAAAAAACCAGCTCCTGGATTCACTAATTCTTTGAAGGGTTTTTTGTGTCTCTATTTCCTTCAGTTCTGCTCTGATTTTAGTTATTTCTTGCCTTCTGTTAGCTTTTGAATGTGCTTGCTCTTGCTTTTCCAGTTCTTTTAATTGTGATTTTATCTGAAAAACATTTCTTATCTTTTTAATTTTCTAAAATTTTTGTGGACGCACAATAGGTGTATATATTTATGGGGCACAGAGATATTCTGATACAGACATGCAATGCATAATAGTCACATCAGGGTAAATGGGGTATCCATCCCCTCAAGCATTTGTCCTTTTTGTTACGAACAATCTAATTATACATAGTTATTTTAAAATTACAATTAAATTATTTTTTACTATACTCACCCTGTTGTGTAGCAAGTACTAGGTCTTATTCATTTTTCTAAGTATGTTTTGTACCCAGTAACCATTCCCACTTCCACCCCTACCCCTACCATACCCTTTACATCCTATGGTAGCCATCCTTCTACTCTCTATCTCCATGATTGAATCATTTTAATTTTTAGCTCCCACGAATAAGGGGGAACATGTGAAGTTTGTCATTCTGTGTCTGGCTTATTTCACTTAATATAATGACCTCCAGTTCCATCTATGTTGTTGCAAATGACAGGATCTCATTATTTCTATGGCTCAACAGTACTACATTATGTACATGTACTACATTTTCTTTATCCAATAATCTGTTGATGGATGCTTAGGTTGCTTCCAAATCTTGGCTATTGTGAATAGTACTGCAATACCTATTCACAATAGCAAAAACATGGAATCAACCTAAATGCCTATTAACAGTAGAATGGATAAAGAAAATGTTGTGCATATACGTCATAGAACACTATGTGGCCATAAAAAAGAATCAGATCTTGTCTTTTGCAGCAACATGGATGAAGCTGGGGGCCGTTATCCTAAGTGAACTAATGCAAAAACATAAAACCAAGTACCACATGTTCTCACTTATAAGTGGGAGCTAAACAATGAAAGCACACAGACATAAGGAGGGGAACAACAGCCACCAGGGTCTAATTGAGGGTGGAGAGTGGCAGAAGGGAGAGGATAAAAGACTACCTATCAGGAACTATGCTTATTACCTGGGTGTTGAAAAAAATCTCTACACCAAACCCCCATTACATGCACTTTACCTTTATAAAAAACCTGCACGTGTACTCCTAAACCTAAAATAAAAGTTGAAAAAAGAAAATAAATTACAGAGTAATGCTGCTTTAAAAAAATGTGCTATAACAAACATGGGAGTGTAGACGTGTTTTTGATATATTGATTTCCTTTCTTTTGGATATATACTTAGTAGTAGGATTGCTGTATTATATAATAGATCCCTTTTTCGTTCTCTGAGGAACTTCCAAACTGTTCTCCATATTGGTTGTAATAATTTACATTCCCATCCACAGTATACAAGGGTTCCCTTTTCTCCATATACTTGCTAGCATTTGTTATTGCATGTCTTTCAGGTAAAAGCTACTTTAACTGGGGAGAGATGATGTCTCACTGTAGAACTGATTTGCAGTTCTCTGATGACCAGTGATGTTGAACACCTTTTCACATACCTGTTTGCCATTTCCATGTCTTCTTTTGAGAAATGTATATTCGGATTTTTGCTCTTTTTAAAAAATTGAATCATTAGTTGTTTTTTTCCAGTGGAGTTGATTGAGCTTCTTATATATTCTGGTTATTAATTCCTTGCTAGATGGGTAGTTTGAAATATTTACTTGCATTCTGTCAGTTGTGTCTTCATTTTGTTTATTGTTTCCTTTGCTGTGCAGAAGGTTTTTAACTTGATGTGATCCCATTTGTCCATTTTTGCTTTGGTTGTCTTTACTTGTGGGGTATTGCTCAAGAAATATTTGCCCAATCCAAAGTCCTGGAGAGTTTTCCTAATGTTTTCTTTTAGTAGTTTCATAGATTGAGGTCTTAGAGTTAAGTCTTTAATTTATTTTGTGTGTTTTTAAAATATTTTTTTATTTTAAAGCATCTACAGGGACTTTTTTTTTCAGTAGGATTTTGGGGAAAAGGTGGTGTTTGGTTACAGGAATAAGTTCTTTAGTGGTGATTTTTGTGATTTTGGTGCATCTATCATCCAAGCAGTGTACAGTTTACCCAATGTATCGTCTTTTATCCCTTACTCCCTTCCCACCCTTTCTCCTGAGTCTCCAAAGTCCATTTTATCATTCTTATGCCTTTGTGTCCTCATAGCTTAGCTCCCACTTTGTTTTGTTTTGAAACAGAGGCTTGCTCTGTTGCCCAGGCTGGAGTGCATTGGCATGATCTCAGCTCACCACAACCTCTGCCTGTCAGGTTCAAGCGATTCTCCTGCCTCAGCCTCCCGAGTAGCTGAGAATACAGGTGCCCACCACCATGCCCAGCTAATTTTTGGATTTTTAGTAGAGATGGGGTCTTGCCATGTTGGCCAGGCTGATCTTGAACTCCTGATCTCAAGTGATCCACCCGCCTCAGCCTCCCAAAGTACTAAGATTACAGTCATGAGGCGCCACATCCAGCCTTAGTTCCCACTTATAAGTGAGAACATATGACGTTTGGTTTTCCATTCCTGAGTTACTTCACTTAGAATAATGGTCTCCAATTCTATACAGGTTGCTGCAAATGCCATTATTTTGTTGTTTTTTTATGGCTGAGTAGTATTCCATGGTGTGTGTGTGTGTATATATATATACACACACATATATTTCACATTTTCTTTATCCATTCGTTGATTGATGGGCATTTGGGCCGTTTCCATATTTTTGCAATTGCAAATCGTGCTGCTATAAAAATGCCTGTGCAAGTATCCTTTATGTATAATGACTTCTTTTCCTCTGGGTAGATACCTAGTAATGGGATTGCTGGATTGAATGGTAGATCTACTTTTAGTTCCTTGAGGAATTTCCACACTGTTTTCCATAGTGGTTGTACTAGTTTACGTTCCCACCAACGGTGTAAAATTGTCCCCTTTTCACCACATCCTTGCCAACATCTATTATTTTTTTATTTTTTGATTATGGCCATTCTTGCAGGAGTAAGGTAGTATTGCCTTGTAGTTTTGATTTGCATTTCCCTGATAATTAGTGATGTTGAGCATTTTTCCATATGCTTGCTGGCCATTTGTCTATCTTCTTTTAATAATTGTCTATGCCATGTCCTTAGCCCACTTTTTGATGGGATTGCTTGTCTTATTCTTGCTAATTTGTTTAAGTTCTTTGTAGATTCTGGGTATTAGTCCTTTGTTAGATGTATAGATTGTGAAGATTTTCTTCCACTCTCTGGGTTGTCTGTTAACTCTGCTGATTATTTCTTTGGCTGTGCAGAAGCTTTTTAGTTTAACTAATTCTCATATATTTATCTTTGTTTTTGTTGCATTTGCTTTGGGTTCTTGGAAGTTTTGTTCATTTTTAAAAATTCTTCTTTCATTGTCTTTGATGAATTTGATTAATTCAAAATTCTTGTCTTCAAGCTCTGAAGTTCTTTCTTCTGTGCGTTTGATTCTATTGTTGAGAATTTCCAGTGCATTTTGTATTTCTCTAAGTGTGTCCTTGATTTCCAGAAGTTGTGGTTGTTTTTTATTTATGCTACCTATTACATTGAAGATTTTGCCTTTCATATCTTGTATCATTTTTAAAATTTCGTTAAGTTGGACTTCACCTTTCTCTGGTGCCTCCATGATTAGCTTAATAATCAACTTGAATTCTTTTTTGGCATTTCAGAGATTTCATCTTGGTTTAGATCCATTACTGGTGAGCTGGTGTAATCTTTTGGGAATGTTAAAGAACCTTGTTTTGTCATATCTCCATAATTTTTTTTTTCTGGTTCCTTCTCATTTGGGTAAACTATGTCAGAGGGAAGATCTGGGACTCAAGGGGTGTTGTTCAGATTCTTTTGTCCCAAAAGGTGCTCCCTTGATGTGGTGTTCTCCCCCTTCCCCTAGGGATGGGGCTTCCTAAGAGCCGAATCACAATGATTATTTTTGCTCTTCTGGGTCTAGCCACAAGCAGAGCTACTGAGCTCCCAGGCTGGTACTGGAAAGGGTCTGCAAAGAGTCCTGCAATGTGATTCATCTTTAGGCCTTTCAGCTGTGGATACCAGTACCTGCTCCAGTGGAGCAGGGGAGTGAAGTAGACTCTGAGAAGGTCCTTGGTTGTATTTCTGTTTAGTGTGCTGTTTTTGTGTTGCTTGGCCTCCAGCCAGGAGGTGGCACTTTCAAGAGCACATCAGCTGTGGTACTATATGGAGGATGCAAACTTGCCCTAGTGTTGCCTGGTTAAGTATTCAGGTTTCTCAGGTGGTGAACAGGGCCATAAAACTTCTAAGAGATTATGTACTTTGTCTTTGGCAACCAGGGCAGGTAGAGAAAGACCACCAGGTGGGGGCAGGTATAGGCGTGTCTGAGCTCAGACTCTCCTTGAGTGGGGCTTGCTATGGCTGCTGTGGGGTATGGGGGTGTGGTTCCCAGGCCAATGGAGTTATGTTCTCAGAGGGATTATGGCTACCTCTGCTGAGTCATACAGGTCTCCAGGGAAGTGGGTGAAAGACAGCAGTCACAGGCCTCACCCGACTCCCATGCAGCACCGAGTCTATTTCCAGGCAGCAAGTGACCAGGGATGAGAACTTGTCCCAGACCACCAGCCTCTCTGCTGAGAAAGGGAGCTGACTTACAGCTTTCTGGCAACTCAGGGAACCTGCAGCGGCAATCCAGTTTCTCAAAGCGTCTGTGAATTCTCTCAGGTTTCCTTATGTGTTCCTCCGGTAGTTCTTGGAACAAAAGTTTATGATGTGAGTCTCCACATGCTGCTCTCTCTGTCCAGGAGCTGCGAGCTAGTCCTGCCTCCTATCTGCCATCTTAATGTATCAGCTTTAAGTCATTTTGATTTTATTTTTGTATATGATGAGAGATAAGGGTCTAGATTCATTCTTTTTCATTTACATATCTAGTTTTCTGAGCACAATTTATTGAAAAGACTGTCCTTTCCCCATTGTATGTTCTTGGCACCTTTGTCAAAAAAGAGTTTACTGTAGATGCGTATAGTTATTTCTGGATTATTTATTCTGTTCCACTGGTCTATGTATCAGTTTTTATGCCAGTACCATGTTGTATTGGTTACTATAGCTCTATAGTATAACTTGAAGTCAGGTAATGTGATTCCTCCAGTTTTGTTCATTTTGCTTAGGATAGCGTTGGCTAATCTGGGTCTTTTGTGGTTTCATATAAGTTTTAGGACTTTTTTTTTCTATTGCTGTGAATAATGTCATTGGCATTTTGATAAGGATTGCATTAAACTGGTAGATTGCTTTGGGTAGCATAGACATTTTAACAATATTGATTCTTCCAATCCATAAACATGGAATACCTTTCCATTTTTTGGTGTCTTTGTCAAGTTGTTTCTTTGGTGTTTTATACTTTTCATTACAGAGATCTTTTACTTCTTTGGTTGGGTTAATTTCTGGGTATTTAATTTCATGCGTAGCTATTGTAAATGGGATTACTTTTACAATTTCTTTTTCAGTTGTTCATTGTTGGCATATAGAAATGCTACTGATTTTTGTATGTTGAATTTGTATCCTGAAACTTTAGTGAATTTGTTTATCGGTTACAATAGTTTTCTTGTGGAGTCTTATGTTTTTCCAAGCATAAGATTATACCATCAGCAAACCAGGATAATTTGACTTCTTTCTTCCTAATTTGAATGCCCTTTATATCTTTCTCTTGTCTGATTGCTTTAGCTAGGACTTCCAGTACTATGCTGAATAACAGTGATGACAGTGGGCATCCTTTTCATGTTCCAGATCTTAGAGAAAAGGCTTTCAGTTTTTCTCCATTTACTATGATACTAGCTGTGGGTCTGTCATATATAGCTATTATTATGTTAAGATATGTTTCTCTTATCTCAAGATTTTTGTGGATTTTATTATGAAGCAATGTTGAATTTTATCAAATGCTGTTTCAGCATCAATTAAAATGATCATATGGTTTTTGTCCTTCATTTTGTTGATGAGATGTATCACATTGGTTGATTTGCGTATGTTGAACCATCCATACATCCCTATGATTAATCCTACTTGATCATGATGATAATCTTTTTAATGTATTGTTTGAATTTGCTTTGCTATTACTTTGTTTAGGAGTTTTGCATTTATATTCATCAGTTATGTTTTCCTATAGTTTTTTTTTGTTTTTTGTTCTGTTTTTTTTTTTTTTTTTTTTTTTTGGTATGTCTTTGTCTCATTTTGGTATCAGGGTTATACTGCTCTTGTAGAATGAGTTTGAAAGTATTTCCTCCTATATTTTGGGGAATAGTTGGAGTAGGATTAATATTAGTTCTTCTTTAAATGTTTGGTAGAATTCAGGACATGGAGCAAAATGTTAGAAGAGAAAGGTCCACTGATTGACCCCCAACAAGGACACCAAGTTAACAAATATCTACACAGAAGAAAATACTTTCAAAAGAACAAAAAAATTAGGTGAGCACTCATAGTACCTGGATTTAACTTCACATCACTGTTAGAGGCACTGAAGAGATTTAAATAAACCGTACGGAATCAGCAATGCCATCCCTCTCCCACCCCCAGCAGCAGCTTGGTGCAGAGAGCTTCTGTGGGCACTGCGGGAGGGAGAACACAGCACTTGTGAGACATTGAACTCAGTGCTGTCCTGTTAGAGCAGAAAAGTAAAACTGGACCAAACTCAGCTGACACCTGCCTATGGAGGGAACATTTAAACCAGCCAGAGAAAAATGGTCAGTTTCAGTGGTCTGAACTTGAGTGCTTGAAAACCTTACCACTGAGGGCCACAGCACTCTGTGTCTCCAAGTAAACTTGAAATATGGTCTAGGCCATAATGACTGCAACTTCTAGGTGAGTCCTAGTGCTGAACTAGACCAAGAGACAGTGAACTTGGGTGGGGGTCATTGGAACGCAACATACTGAGACATCAGCTGGGGCAGCCAAGGAAGTGCTAGCATCACTCCTCCCTCAACCCCAGGCCACACAGTGGCTCCAAAACAGACCTTTTCTTCCACTTGAGGGAAGGAGATGGAAGAGTAGGGAAGATTTTGTCTTGCATGTAGGATACCAGCTCGGTCACAGCAGGACAGGGAACTAGTCAGTCATGAGGCCCTAGTTCCGGGCCCTAAATCCTGGATGACATTTCTAGACAACCATATGCCAGAAAGGAACCCACTGCCTTGAAGAAAAGGACTCAGTCCTGGCAACATTCATCACCTGCTAACTGAAGAGCCCTTGGGCCCTGAATAATGAACAGTGATAGCTGGGTACCACATCTAGGGACTTGGGTAAGCATCTGAGACTTGCTGGCTTCAGATGAGACTCAGTACATTACCAGCTGTGGTGGCTATGGGGAAAAATCCCTTCTCCTTCAGAAAAGCAGAGAGCAAAGTAAAGGGGAGTATGTCTTGCACCATAGGTACCAGCATGGCCCCAGGGATATAAAACACCAAGTAGGCTCTTGAGGTCCTCAAATCTAGGACTTGACACTTGGATGGCATTTTTAGTCCTGACCTGGGCCAGAGAGGAAATCCTGCTGCCCTGAAGGGTAAGTCACAGGTCAGGCAGCATTCATGACAAGCTGACTTAAAAGACTTTGGGGCCACAGGGTGAAAGAAGCTCGTAGCTGAACTTTGTAATGATTTCAACTGAGCTTGAACTTTCCTGAGTAGAATCTGGGGAGGGGGCAAATGACAAATGCAGACACAAGCACAGAACTGCAGCTGAAGGTGCAGACAGGTGGGGAGGCAAGGCCTGAGAACCCTGCTTGCTTTCTCAGCCAGGAGGCTTGTAGCCTGGGGCGAGATCTCAGCCCTGCTCACTAGCTGCCTGGATATAAACTCAGTGCAGTTGGGGAGGCACAGCTGGAGTGAGATTGGCTTTGCTGGCTGTGTGGGAGCTGGGTGAAGCATGTCATTGCTGGCTTTCCCCTACTTCCCTGACGAAGTGTACGACACAGCAGAGGTGGCCATAATCCTCCTGGGAACATAACTCCATTGGCCTCACAACCATCCCCCCATCCGCCAGTGTCCACAGTAAGCCCTGCATCCATCACCTAAGAAACCCGAGTACTCATCTTGGCCAATGTAGGGCAAGATTATATTCCCCTTGTATTACTGCAGCTGGCACTCTCTTGAAAGCATCACCTCCTGGCTGGAGGCCAACAAACTCACGCCATTACAGCAACTTTGAAGCAGAACAACCCTGCTTCAAAGAAGGAGAAAATGAAAGCTAATTCAACGGCCTGCAACACCCTGGCTAACCAGAGGTCCTGAGTCTGTCCACATGGCAACTTCACTCCTAGCATAACGAGTATTTGAGAAAACCAGGACACTAAAGAAAGCAACAACCAAGGATTTCCACAGAGTCCACTTCACTCCCTTGTCACCTCCAAGCAGGTGCTGGTATCCACAACTGGGAGACCTAAAGATGGGATCACATCACAGGACTCTGCAGATATTCCCCAGCACCAGCCTGAAGCCTGGTAGTCCCACTGAGTGGCTAGACCAAGAAGGGCAATAACAATCACTGCCATCCAGCTCTCAGGAAACATTATCCCTTGAGGAAGAGGGAGAGCACCACATTAAGGGATCACCCTGTGGGACAAAAGAATCTGAACAGCAGCCCTTGAGTTCCAGATCTTTCCACTGAAGCAGTCTATTCAAATGAGAAGGAACCAGAAAAGTAATTCTGGTAATATGACAAAACAAGGTTCTATAACACCCCCAAAATATCACACTAGCTCTCTGGCAATGGATTCACACCAAGAAGAAATCACTGAATTGCCAGAAAAAGAATTCAGAGGGTTATTAAGCTACTCAAGGGGGCACCAGAAAAAGGCAAAAACCAACTTAAAGAAATTCTAAAAAATATAGAATTTGGATGACAAAGTCTCCAGAGAAATAGACATCATAAAGAAAAGACAATTACAACTAGTGGAAATTAAAGACACACTTAGATAAATGCAAAATACACTGGAAAATTTCAACAACAGACTCAAACAAATAGAAGGAAGAACAGAGCTCAAAGACAAGGCTTTCAAATTAACCCACTAAAACAAAGACAAAGAATATGTAACTAACCTGCACAATGTGCACATGTACCCTAAAACTTAAAGTATAATAAAAAAAAAAAAAGAAAACACTCGGTAGATGAAGAAAAAAAAAAGAAAAAAGAATAAAAAAAGAACAAAGCCTCCAAAAAATTTGAGATTATGTCAAGTGACCAGGCACTTGTGTTCCTGAAGAAGAAGATAAATCTAAAAGTTTTAAAAACTGATTTGAGGGAATAATCAAGGAGAACTTCCCTGGTCTTGCTAGAGATCTAGACATCCAAATACAAGAAGCTTAAACAGAAAGAGGGAGATAATCTGTATGTTTAGAAGAAAGTAAGGAAAGAGAACCACAGTTTCTGCCTGGTAATTCAGAGTATTCTCCTGGAACTTGTCAAAGACCATCAAGGCAGTCCCTCTAAGAGTCTGCAAGAACCACAGTGTGATAGGTCTTTGGGTGCCCCCTAAAGCAGATACAGCTTATATCAAACACCCAAGTCCTTGCAAATATCTGGAAAGCCTTCCCAAGAAAGATGACTACAAATAAGCCCAGATAGTGAAGAATATAACAGACACCTAACTCTTCAATTCCCAGACACTGAAGAACATCTAGTATCATTAACACCATTCAGGAAAACATGACCTCATAAAATGAACTAAATAAGGCATTAGGGACCAATCCTGGAGCAACAGAGATGTGTGGCCTTTTAGACAGAGATTCAAATTAGCTGTATTGAGGATACTCAAAGAAATTTGTGGTAACACAGAGAAGTAATTCAGAATTTTATCAAATAAATTTAACAAAGACATTGACATAATGAAAAGAAATCAAGCAGAGATTCTGGAGCTGAAAAATGCAGTTGGCATACTGAAGAATGTGTCAGCATCTTTAATAGCAGAATTGATGAAGCAGAAGAAGGAAAGAGTGAGCTTGAAGACACGCTATTTGAAAATACACAGGAGACAAAAGAAAAATGAATAAAAAACAATGAAGCATGCCTACAGAATCTAGAAAATAGCCTTGAAGGGGGCAAATTTAAAGTTATTAGGCTTAAGAAAGAGGTAGAGGAAGTAAGAGGGGTAGAAAGTTTATTCAAAGAGATAATGACAGAGAATGCCTCAAACCTAAAAGAACAATATCAATATTCATGTATAAGAAAGTTACAGAACATCAAGAAGATTCATCCCAAAGAAGACTACCTCTAAACATTTAATAATCAAATTCCCAAAGGTCAAGAATAAAGAAGGGATCCTAAAAGCAGCAAAATAAGAGAAACAAAAAACACAATAAAGCTCCAATTCTTCTGGTAGCAGAACTTTCAGTGGAAATCTTATAGGCTAGAAGAGAGGGGCATGACATATTTAAAGTGCTGAAGGAAAAAAAGGAACACAAAATGTTGACCCTAGAACAGTGTATCTGGTGAAAATATTCTTCAAATGTGAAGGAGACTTTCCCAGACAAAGAAAAGCTGAGGAATTTTATGAATATCAGAACTATCCTGCAAAAAATGCTAAAGGGAGCACTTCAATCAGAGACAAAAGGATATTAATGAGAAATAGTTACCTAAATGAAAAAAACTCACTGGTCATAGTAAGTACACAGAAAAGCACAGAATATTATATCACTAACTGTGGTGTGTAAAATATTATTATCCTAAGTAGAAAGGCTAAAAATATACCTATAAAAATAATAACTACAAAATATCTTCCAGACATAGTCAATGCAATAATATATAAATGGAAACCATAAAAAGTTAAAAAGCAGGGGAATGGAGTTAAGGTATAGAGTTTCCATTAGTTCTTTTATGCAAATAGTATTAACTTGCTATCAGGTTAAAATAATGGGTTATAAAATAGTATTTGCAAGCCTCATGGTGGCCTTAAGCCAAAAAACATATAATGGGTACACAAAAAATATAAAGCAAGAAACGAAATTGTGTCACCAAAGAAAACCACTCTCACTAGAAGAAGACAGAAAGAAAAGAAAGAAGGAAAGGAGGCCACAAGACAACCAGAAAACAAATAATAAAATATCAGGAGCGAGTACTTACGTATCAATAACATTGAATGTAAATGGACTAAACTCTTCATCAAAAGTCAAATACTGGCTGAATAAATAAAAAAGCAAGACCCATTGATCTGTTGCCTACAGGAAACACACTTCACCCAGAAAAACACACATAGACTGAAAATAAAGAGATAGAAAAAGATATTCCATGCCAATGGAAGCCAAAAAAAAAGCAGAAGTTACTATACTTATATCAGAAAAAATAGATGTCAAGACAAAAACTATCAGAAGAGACAAAGAAGGTCACTACATAATGATAAAGGTGTCAATTCAGCAAGAGGATATAACAATTATTAATATATATGCACCCAACACTGGAGCACCCAGATATATAAATCAAATATTCGAGCTAAAGAGATAAATATGCACTCATAAAATAATAGCTGGAGACTTCAACACCCTACTTTCTTTTTTTTTATTATTATACTTTAAGTTCTAGGGTACATGTGCACAACATGCAGGTTTGTTACATATGTATACATGTGTCGTATTGGTTTGCTGCACGCATTAACTTGTCATTTATATAAGGTGTTTCTCCTAATGCTATCCCTCCCCCATCCCCCCACCCCACGACATGCCCCAGTGTGTGATGTTCCTCACCCTGTGTCCAAGTGTTCTCATTGTTTGATTCCCACCTATGAGTGAGAACATGTGGTGTTTGGTTTTCTGCCCTTGTGATAGTTTGCTCAGAATGATGGTTTCCAGCTTCATCCATGTCCCTAAAAAGGACATGAACTCATCCTGTTTTTATGGCTGCATAGTATTCCATGGTGTATATGTGCCATATTTTCTTAATCCAGTCTATCATTGTTGGATATTTTGGTTGGTTCCAAGTCTTTGCTATTGTGAATAGTGCCACAAAAAACATACGTGTGCATGTGTCTTTATAGTAGCATGATTTATAATCCTTTGGGTATATACCCAGTAATGGGGTCGCTGGGTCAAATGGTATTTCTAGTTCTAGATCCTTGAGGAATCACCACACTGTCTTCGACAATGGTTGAAATAGTTTACAGTCCCACCAATGGTGTAAAAGCATTGTTATTTCTCCACATCCTCTCCAGCACCTCTTGTTTCCCGACTTTTTAATGATCGCCATTCTAACTGGTGTGAGATGGTATCTCACTGTGGTTTTGATTTGCATTTCTCTGATGACCAGTGATGATGAGCATTTTTTCATGTGTTTCTTGGCTGCATAAATGTCTTCTTTTGAAAAGTGTCTGTTCATATCCTTTGCTCACTTTTTGATGGGGTTGTTTGATTTTTTCTTGTAAATTTGTTTGAGTTCTTTGTAGATTCTGGATATTAGCCCTTGTCAGATGGGTAGATTGCAAAAATTTTTCTCCCATTCTGTAGGTTGCCTGTTCATTCTGATGGTAGTTTCTTTTGCTGTGCAGAAGCTCTTTAGTTGAATTAGATCCCGTTTGTCAATTTTGGCTTTTGTTGCCATTGCTTTTGGTGTTTTAGTCATGAAGTCCTTGCCCATGCCTATGTCCTGAATGGTATTGCCTAGGTTTTCTTTTAGGGTTTTTATGGTTTTAGGTCTAACATTTAAGTCTTTAATCCATCTTGAATTAATTTTTGTATAAGGTGTAAGGAAGGAATCCAGTTTCAGCTTTCTACATCTGGCTAGCCGGTTTTCCCAGCACCATTTATTAAATAGGGAATCCTTTCCCCATTGCTTGTTTTTGTCAGGTTTGTCAAAGATCAGATGGTTGTAGATGTGTGGTGTTATTTCTGAGGCCTCTGTTCTGTTCCATTGGTCTATATCTCTGTTTTGGTACCAGTACCATGCTGTTTTGGTTACTATAGCCTTGTAGTGTAGTTTGAAGTCAGGTAGCATGATGCCTCCAACTTTGTTCTTTTGGCTTAGGATTGTCTTGGCAATATAGGCTCTTTTTGGTTCCATATGAACTTTAAAGTAGTTTTTTCCAATTCTGTGAAGAAAGTCATTGGTAGCTTGATGGGGATGGCATTGAATCTACAAATTACCTTGGGCAATATGGCCATTTTCATGATATTGATTCTTCCTATCCATGAGCATGGAATGTTCTTCCATTTGTTTGTGTCCTCTTTTATTTCATTGAGCAATGGTTTGCAGTTCTCCTTGAAGGGGTCCTTCACATCCCTTGCAAATTGTATTCCTAGGTATTTTATTCTCTTTGTAGCAATTGTGAATGGGAGTTCACTCATGATTTGGCTCTCTGTTTGTCTGTTATTGGTGTATAAGAATGTTTGTGATTTTTGCACATTGATTTTGTATCCTGAGACTTTGCTGAAGTTGCTTATCAGCTTAAGGAGATTTTGGGCTGAGACAATGGGGTTTTCTAAATATAGAATTATGTCATCTGCAAACAGGGACAATTTGACTTCCTCTTTTCCTAATTGAATATGCTTTATTTCTTTCTCTTGCCTGATTGCACTGGCCAGAACTTCCAACATTATGTTGAATAGGAGTGGTGAGAGAGCGTATCCCTGTCTTGTGCCAGTTTTCAAAGGGAATGCTTCCAGTTTTTGCCCATTCAGTATTGTTACCGGGGGTTCCTTGCTCCAAGAGCTCCCAAGATGGTGGCAGGCAGCTTCCAAGATGGCGGCAGGCCACTTCCAAGATGGTAGCAAGCCTCGTGTTCTCTGACCTGGTGTTCTTGGCCTCATGGATTCCAAGGAATGGAATCTTGGGCCATGCGGTGAGTGTTATAGCTCTATTAGAAGCCGTGAATCATGGAAAAGAATCGTGGAACCCAGTGACTAGTGTTCAGCTTGATTAGGACAAACCCAGGCACTTAGCAGGGTAGGAACAATGGCAGGCCTTTAGCCCATTTGGGAGTGGCAATGAGCGCCTCACTGGATCAGGAGCAGCAGGTCTACAACAGCAGCAAACAGCAGTGGTGGACGGCGAGCAAAAGCTCCGCTGAAGCCATAACAAACACGGACCAGAAGAGTGTGCAGTTGCAAGATTTAACAGAGTGAAAACAGAGCTCCCATACAAAGGGAGGGGACCCAAAGATGGTAGCCATTGCTGGCTCGAATGCCTGGGTTTTTATCCCAATCATTTTCACTCCCGCTGTGCTCTCAGGCGATAGATGATTGGCTATTTCTTTACCTCCTGTTTTTGCCTAATTAGCATTTCAGTGAGTTCTCTTTACTACCTGATTGGTCGGGTGTGAGTTAAGTTGCAAGCCCCGTGTTTAAAGGTGGATGCAGTCACCTTCCCAGCTAGGCTTAGGGATTCTTAGTCGGCCTAGGAAATCCAGCTAGTCCTCTCTCTCAGTATGATACTGTCTTTGGGTTTGTCATAAATAGCTCTTATTATTTTGAGATACATTCCATCAATACCTAGTTTATTGAGAGTTTTTAGCATGAAGGGCTGTTGAATTTTGTCAAAGGCTTTTTCTGCATCTACTGAGATAATCATGTGGTTTTTGTCTTCAGTTCTATTTATGTGATGTATTATGTATATTGATTTGCATATGTTGAACCAGCCTTGCATCTCAGGGATGAAGTCAACTTGATCTTGGGGGATAAGCTTTTTGTTGTGCTGCTAGATTCGGTTTGCAAGTATTTTATTGAGGATTATTGCATCAAAGTTCATCAGGGATATTGGTCTAAAATTCTATTTTTTTGTTGTGTCTCTGCCAGGCTTTGGTATCAGGATGATGCTGGCCTCATAAAATGAGTTAGGGAGGATTCCTTCTTTTTCTATTGATTGGAATAGTTTCAGAAGGAATGGTACCAGTTCCTCCTTGTACCTCTGGTAGAATTCAGCTGTGAATCCATCTGGTCCTGGACTTTTTATGGTTGGACTTTTTTTGGTTGGTAGGCTATTAATTATTGCCTCAATTTCAAAGCCTATTATTGGTCTATTCAGTGGTTCAACTTCTTCCTGGTTTAGTCTTGGGAGGGTGTATGTTCAACACCCTACTTTCAGCATTGCACAGATCTTCCACACAGACTCAACAAAGAAACATTAGATTTAATCTGCACTACAGGCCAAATGGATCTAATGGATATTTACAGAACATTTCATGCAAGACCTACAGAATACACTATCTTTTCCTCAGCACATGGATCATTCTCAAGGATAGACCACATGTTAGGTCACAAAACAACTCTTAAAGATTTCCAAAAATAGAAATAATATTAAGCATCTTCTCTGACTGGAATGAAATAAAACTAGAAATTAATAAGAAGAGGAATTTAGAAAACTAAACACATACATAAAAATTAAACAATATGCTCCTGAATTATTAGTGGGTCTATGAAGAAATTAACAAAAAAATTGAAAGAAAGATTTCCTTACACAAATAATAATTCAAGTATAACATACAAAACCTATGTGATACAGAAAAATAGTATTCAGAGTGAAGTTTATAGCTATCAGTGACTACATCAAAAGAGGAAAAGCTTTACATGAACAACTTAATGATGCATCTTAAAGCACTAGAAAAGCAAGAGCAAACCAAACCCGACATTAGTAGAAAAAAAAAGAAATAATAAAGATCAGAGCAGAAATAAATGAAATTGAAATAATTAAAACAATACAAAAGATGAATGAAACCAAACCTTGGTTTTTTGAAAAGTTAACAAAATTGACAAATCTTTAGCCAGCCTAACTATGAAAAAGAGAGAACATCCAAATAAATAAAATCAGAACCAAAAAAGGAGACACTATAACTGATATTGTAGATAATCAAAGAATCATTTGTGGCTACTGTGAGCAACTATATACCAATACATTAGAAAATCTAGAAGAAATGGACAAATCCCTATACAGACTGTCAAGATTGAACCATGAAGATATCCAAAACCTGAATAGACCAATAACAAATAACAAAATCAAAGCTGTAATAAAAACTCTCCCAATAAGGAAAAGCCCAGGACCTAATGGCTTCATTGCGGAATTCTGCAAACATTTACTGAAGAGTTAGTACCAATATTACTCAGATGATTCTAAGAAATAGAGGAGGAGGAAATACTTACACATTCATTCTATGAGGCTAGTATTATCCTGATATCAAAACTAGGCAAAGACACATTAAAAAACCCTACAGGACAATATCTCTGATGAATATTGATGCAAAAATACTCAACAAATGACTAGCAAACTGAATTCAACAGTATATTAGAAAGATTGTTTATCATGACAAAGTGGGATTTATCTCCATGATGCAAGGATAGTTCAATATACACAAATCAAGCAATGCAAAATATCATATCAACACGATGAAGGATTAAAAACCATTTGATCATTCAATTAATGTTGAAAAAGCATTTGATAAAATTCAACATCCCTTCATGATAAAAGCCCTCAAAAAACAGAGGATAGAAGAAACACACCTTAACATAATAAAAGCCATCTACAACAGACCTACAGCTAGTATCATACTAAATGAGAAAAAACTGAAAGGCTTTTCTCTAAGATCTGAAAAACAATAAGGATGCCCACTGCCACCTCTGTTATTAAACATAGTGCAAGAAGTCCTAGCTAGAGCAATCAGACAAACGAAAGATATAAAGGGCAACCAAATTTGAAATAAAGAAGTCAAAGTATCCTTGTTTGCAGCTGATATAATCTTATACTGCAAAAAGCCTAAAGACTCCACCAGAAAACTATTACAACTGATAAGCAAATTCAGTAAAGTTGCAGCATACAAAATCAACATACAAAAATCAGGACCATTTCCATATGTCAACACTGAACAAAGTGAAAAAAATCAAAATAGTAATCCCATTTACAATAGCCACACATAAAATTAAATACCTAGGAATTAACTTAAAGAAATTAAAAGATCTCTATAATAAAAATTATAAAACAGTAAGGAAATTAACTAAAGAAAACATCAAAAATGGAAAGATATTCCATATTCATGGATTTGAAGAATCAATATTTTTTAAATGTTTATATTACCCAAAGCAATATACAGATTCAGTGCAATCCCTATCAAAATACCAAAGACATTTTTCACAGAAATAGAAAAAAATGTAAAATGTATATGGAACCACAAAGACTCAGAATAGCAAAAGCAACCCTAAGCAAAAAGAACAAAACTGGAGGAATCACGTTACATGACTTCAAACTATACTACAGAGCTATAGTAAGCAAAAGAGCACAGCACTGGCATAAAAACAGAAACATAGATCAATTGAACAGAAGAGAGAACCAAGAAACAAGTTTACACACCTACAGTGAACTCATTTTTTACAGAGGCACCGAGAACATACACAGCAGAAAAGAGAGTCTGTTCAATAATGGTGCTGGGAAAACTGGATATCCATACTCAGAATGAAACTAGAACCCCATCTCTTGCCATATTCAAAAATCAAATCAAAATGAATTAAGGAGTTAAATCTAAGACCTCAAACTATGGAACTATTACAAGAAAAGTTGGGGAATATCTCCAGGACATTGGTCTGGGCAAAAAAATTCTTCAGCAACCTCACAAGCACAGGCAACCAAAGAAAACATGGACAAATGAGATCACAAGTTTAAAAGCTTCTGCACAGCAAAGAATACAATCACCAAAGTGAAGAGACAACCCATAGAATGAGAGAAAATATTTGCAAACTACCCATCTGACAAGGGATTCATAACCAGAATATATAAGAAAGCTCAAGCAACTCTATAGGAAAAAAATCTAATAATCTGATAAAAAAATGGGCAAAAGTAGTTTTTTGTACTTTAAAGTTCATATGGAACCAAAAAAGAGCCCGCATCGCCAAGTCAATCCTAAGCCAAAAGAACAAAGCTGGAGGCATCACACTACCTGACTTCAAACTATACTACAAGGCTACAGTAACCAAAACAGCATGGTACTGGTACCAAAACAGAGATATAGATCAATGGAACAGAACAGAGCCCTCAGAAATAATGTCGCATATCTACAACTATCTGATCTTTGACAAACCTGAGAAAAACAAGCAATGGGGAAAGGATTCCCTATTTAATAAATGGTGCTGGGAAAACTGGCTAGCCAGATGTAGAAAGCTGAAACTGGATCCCTTCCTTACACCTTATACAAAAATCAATTCAAGATGGATTAAAGATTTAAACGTTAGACCTAAAACCATAAAAACCCTAGAAGAAAACCTAGGCATTACCATTCAGGACATAGGTGTGGGCAAGGACTTCATGTCCAAAACACCAAAAGCAATGGCAACAAAAGCCAAAATTGACAAATGGGATCTAATTAAACTAAAGAGCTTCTGCACAGCAAAAGAAACTACCATCAGAGTGAACAGGCAACCTACAACATGGGAGAAAATTTTCGCAACCTACTCATCTGACAAAGGGCTAATATCCAGAATCTACAATGAACTCAAACAAATTTACAAGAAAAAAACAAACAACCCCATCAAAAAGTGGGCGAAGGACATGAACAGACACTTCTCAAAAGAAGACATGTATGCAGCCAAAAAACACATGAAGAAATGCTCATCATCACTGGCCATCAGAGAAATGCAAATCAAAACCACTATGAGATATCATCTCACACCAGTTAGAATGGCAATCATTAAAAAGTCAGGAAACAACAGGTGCTGGAGAGGATGTGGAGAAATAGGAACACTTTTACACTGTTGGTGGGACTGTAAACTAGTTCAACCATTGTGGAAGTCAGTGTGGCGATTCCTCAGGGATCTAGAACTAGAAATACCATTTGACCCAGCCATCCCATTACTGGGTATATACCCAAAGGACTATAAATCACGCTGCTATAAAGACACATGCACACGTATGTTTATTGCAGCACTATTCACAATAGCAAAGACTTGGAACCAACCCAAATGTCCAACAATGATAGACTGGATTAAGAAAATGTGGCACATATACACCATGGAATACTATGCAGCCATAAAAAATGATGAGTTCATGTCCTTTGTAGGGACATGGATGAAATTGGAAATCATCATTCTCAGTAAACTATCGCAAGAACAAAAAACCAAACACCGCATATTCTCACTCATAGGTGGGAATTGAACAATGAGATCACATGGACACAGGAAGGGGAATATCACACTCTGGGGACTGTGGTGGGGTCGGGGGAGGGGGGAGGGATAGCATTGGGAGATATACCTAATGCTAGATGACACGTTAGTGGGTGCAGCGCACCAGCATGGCACATGTATACATATGTAACTAACCTGCACAATGTGCAGATGTACCCTAAAACTTAGAGTATAATAAAAAAAAAACATTAAAAATAAAAAATAAAAATAAAAAAATAAAAATAAATGGGCAAAAGATTTGTATAGATATTTCTTAAAAAGCATATGAAAGGCAAACAGGCATATGAAAAGGTGCTCAACATCAGTGATTATCAGAGAAATGCAAATCAAAACTACAATGAAATATCATCTCACCTTAGTTACAATGGCTTACATCCAAAAGACAGGCAATAACAAATGCTGGCGAGGATGTGGAGAAAAGATAACCCCTGTACACTGTTGGTGGGAATGTAAATTCACACAACCACTAAGGAGAAAAGTTTAGAGGTTCCTCAAAAAGCTAAAAATTGAGCAATTACCATATTATTCAGCAATCCCACTGCTGAGTGTGTACCCAATAGAAAAGAAATCAATATATCAAAGAGATATCTGTACTCCTATGTTTGTTGCAGCACTGTTTACAATAGTGAAGAATTGGAAGCAACCTAAGTGTCCATCAACAAATGAATAAAGAAAGTGTGGTATATATACACAATGGAGTACTAGTCAGCCATGAACAAAAAGGGATCCTGTTATTTGCAGCAACATGGATGGAACTGGAGATCATTATGCTATGTGTAAAAAGCCAGGCACAGAAAGACAAACATCACGTCTTCTCACTTATTTGTGGGATCTAAAAATTAAGACAATTGTATTCATGCAGATAGAGAGTAGAAAGATTGTTAGTAGAGACTGGGAAGAAAAGTGGGGGACTCAGGGAGGATGTGGAGATGGTTAATGGATACAATGAAAATAGTTTAAAAGAATGAATACAACCTACTATTTGATAGTGCATTAGGTTGTCTGTAGTCAATAATAACTGAACATTTTAAAATGAAGAGTATATTTGGATTGTTTGTAACTCAAAAGATAAATGCTTGAAGAGATAGATACCCCATTCTCTATGATGTGCTTATTTCACATTGCATGCCTATATCAAAATATCCATATATCTCCTAAATATATACATTTACTATGTACACACAAAAATTGAAACTAAAACTAAAAATTAAATGTTTGTTAGAATTCAGCAGTGAAACCATTGAGTTCTGGGCTTTTCTTTACTGGAAGAATTTTTATTACAGTTTTAATCACATTACTTGTTAATGATTTGTTCAGTAGGTTGTATGTGTCTAAGAATTTTTCCATTTTTTTTTGATTTTCCAATTTATTGGCATAGTTGCTGTTAGTAGCCACTAATGATCCTTCAAATTTCAGTATCAGTTGTAATGTCTCCTTTTTCATCTCCAGTTTTACTTATTTGGATTTCTCTTTCTCTCTCTCTCTCTCCATCTCGCTCTCTCTCTCCCTCTCGCTCACTTCCTGTTTTAATTAATCTGCCTAAATGTCAATTTTATCTTCTCAAAAATCAAGGTTCAGTTTCATTCATCTTTTGTATTTTTTTATCTCAATTTCCTTTATTTCTGTTCTGTTCATTATTATTTCTTTCCTTCTACGAATCTTGAGTTTGGTTTGCTCTTGCTTTTCTAATTCTTTAAGATGCATCATTTGGTTATTTGGAGTTGTTCTTCGTTTTTTTTAAATTTTATTATTATTATACTTTAAGGTTTAGGGTACATGTGCACAATGTGCAGGTTAGTTACATATGTATACATGTGCCATGTTGGTGTGCTGCACCCATTAACTCGTCATTTAGCATTAAGTATATTTCCTAATGCTATCCCTTCCCGCCTCTCCCCACGACACAACAGTAACTGGAGTGTGATGTTCCCCTTCCTGTGTCCATGTGTTCTCATTGTTCAATTCCCACCTATGAGTGAGAATATGCGGTGTTTGGTTTTTTGTCCTTGCAATAGTTTGCTGAGAATGATGGTTTCCAGTTTCATCCATGTCCCTACAAAGGACATGAACTCATCGTTTTTTTATGTCGGCATAGCATACCATGGTGTATATGTGCCACATTTTCTTAATCCAGTCTATCATTGTTGGACATTTGGGTTGGTTCCAAGTCTTTGCTATTGTGAATAGTGCTGCAATAAACATACGTGTGCATGTGTCTTTATAGCAGCATGATTTATAGTCCTTTGGGTATATACCCAGTAATGGGAAGGCTGGTTCAAATGGTATTTCTAGTTCTACATCCATGAGGAATCGCCACACCGACTCCCACAATGGTTGAACTAGTTTACAGTCCCACCAACAGTGTAAAAGTGTTCCTATTTCTCCACATCCTCTCCAACACCTGTTGTTTCCTGACATTTTAATGATCGCCATTCTAACTGGTGTGAGATGGTATCCCATTGTGGTTTTGATTTGCATTTCTCTTACAGACAGTGAGGATGAGCATTTTTTCATGTGTTTTTCGGCTGCATAAATGTCTTCTTTTGAGAAGTGTCTGTTCATATACTTCATCTACTTTTTGATGGGGTTGTTTGTTTTTTTCTTGTAAATTTGTTTGAGTTCATTGTAGATTCTGAATATTAGCCCTTTGTCAGGTGAGTAGGTTGCGAAAATTTTTTCCCATTTCATAGGTTGCCTGTTCACTCTGATGGTAGCTTCTTTTGCTGTGCAGAAGCTCTTTAGTTGAATTAGATCCCATTTGTCAATTTTGGCTTTTGATGCCATTGCTTTTGGTGTTTTAGACATGAAGTCCTTGTCCATGCCTATGTCCTGAATGGTATTGCCTAGGTTTTCTTCTAGGGTTTTTATGGTTTAGGTCTAACCTGTAAGTCTTTAATCCATCTTGAATTAATTTTTGTATAAGGTGTAAGGGAGTGATCCAGTTTCAGCTTTCTACATCTGGCTAGCCAGTTTTCCCAGCACCATTTATTAAATAGGGAATCTTTTCTCCATTGCTTGTTTTTGTCAGGTTTGTCAAAGATCAGATGGTTGTAGATATGCGGCATTATTTCTGAGGGTTCTGTTCTGTTCCATTGATCTATATCTCTGTTTTGGTACCAGTACCATGCTGTTTTGGTTACTGTAGCCTTGTAGTATAGTTTGAAGACAGGTAGCATGATGCCTCCAGCTTTGTTCTTTTGGCTTAGGATTGACTTTGTGATGCGGGCTCTTTTTTGATTCCATATGAACTTTAAAGTAGTTTTTTCCAATTCTGTGAAGAAAGTCATTGGTAGCTTGATGGGGATGGCATTGAATCTGTAAATTACCTTGGGCAGTATGGCCATTTTCACGATATTGATTCTTCCTACCCATGAGCATGGAATGGTCTTGCATTTGTTTGTATCCTCTTCTATTTCATTGAGCAGTGGTTTGTAGTTCTCCTTGAAGAGGTCCTTCACATCCCTTGTAAGTTGGATTCCTAGGTATTTTATTCTCTTTGAAGCAATTGTGAATGGGAGTTCACTCCTGATTTGGCTCTCTGTTTGTCTCTTATTGGTGTATAAGAAAGCTTGTGACTTTTGTACAATGATTTTGTATCCTGAGACTTTGCTCTATTTGCTTATCAGTTTAAGGAGATTTTGGGCTGAGACGAAGGGGTTTTCTAGATATACAATCATGTCATCTGCAAACAGGGACAATTTGACTTCCTCTTTTCCTAATTGAATGCCATTTATTTCCTTCTCCTGCCTCATTGCCCTGGCCAGAACTTCCAACACTACGTTGAATAGGAGTGGTGAGAGAGGACATCCCTGTCTTGTGCCAGTTTTCAAAAGGAATGCTTCCAGTTTTTGCCCATTCAGTATGATATTGGCTGTGGGTTTGTCATAGCTAGCTCTTATTATTTTGAGATACATCCCATCAATACCTAATTTATTGAGAGTTTTTAGCATGAAGGGGTGTTGAATTGTGTCAAAGGCCTTTTCTGCATCTATTGAGATAATCATGTGGTTTTTGTCTTTGGTTCTGTTTATATGTTGGATTACATTTATTGATTTGCATATGTTGGACCAGCCTTGCATCCCAGGGATGAAGCCCACTTGATCATGGTGGATAAGCTTTTTGATGTGCTGCTGGATTCGGTTTGCCAGTATTTTATTGAGGATTTTTGCATCAGTGTTCATTAAGGATATTGGTCTAAAATTCTCTTTTTTGGTTTGTCTCCGCCAGGCTTTGGTATCAGGATGACGCTGGCCTCATAAAATGAGTTAGGGAGGATTCCCTCTTTTTCTATTGATTGGAATAGTTTCAGAAGGAATGGTACCAGCTCCTCCTTGTACCTCTGGTAGAATTCGGCTGTGAATCCGTCTGGTCCCGGACTCTTTTTGGTTGGTAGGCTATTGATTATTGCCACAATTTCAGCGCTTGTTATTGGTCAACTCAGAGATTCAACTTCTTCCTGGTTTAGTCTTGCGAGGGTGTATGTGTCGAGGAATTTATCCATTTCGTCTAGATTTTCTAGTTTATTTGCATAGAGGTGTTTGCAGTATTCTCTGATGGTAGTTTGTATTTCTGTGGGATTGGTGGTTATGTCTCCTTTATCATTTTTTATTGCATCTATTTGATTCTTCTCTCTTTTTCTTTATTAGTCTTGCTGGCGGTCTATCAATTTTGTCGATCTTTTCAAAAAGCAGCTCCTGGATTCATTAATTTTTTGAAGGGTTTTTTGTGTCTCTATTTCCTTCAGTTCTACTCTGATTTTAGTTATTTCTTCCCTTCTGCTAGCTTTTGAATGTGTTTGCTCTTGCTTTTCTAGTTCTTTTAATTGTGATGTTAGGGTGTCAATTTTGGATCTTTCCTGCTTTCTCTTGTGGGCATTTAGTGCTATAAATTTCCCTCTACACGCTGCTTTGAATGTGTCCCAGAGATTCTGGTATGTTGTGTCTTTGTTCTCGTTGGTTTCAAACAACATGTTTATTCCTGCCTTCATTTTGTTATGTACCCAGTAGTCATTCAGGAGCAGGTTGTTCAGTTTCCATGTAGTTGAGCGCTTTTGAGTGAGTTTCTTAATCCTGAGTTCTAGTTTGTTTGCACTGTGGTCTGAGAGACAGTTTGTTATAATTTCTGTTCTTTTACATTTGCTGAGGAGTGCTTTACTTCCAACTATGTGGTCAGTTTTGGAATAGGTGTGGTGTGGTGCTGAAAAAATGTATATTCTGTTGATTTGGGGTGGAGAGTTCTGTAGATGTCTATTAGGTCTGCTTGGTACAGAGCTGAGTTCAATTCCTGGGTATCCTTGTTAACTTTCTGTCTCGTTGATCTGTCTAATGTTGATAGTGGGGTGTTACAGTCTCCCATTATTAATGTGTGGGAGTCTAAGTCTCTTTGTAGGTCACTGAGGACTTGCTTTATGAATCTGGGTGCTCCTGTATTGGGTGCATATATATTTAGGATAGTTAGCTCTTCTTGTTGAATTGATCCCTTTACCATTATGTAATGGCCTTCTTTGTCTCTTTTGATCTTTGTTGGTTTAAAGTCTGTTTTATCAGAGACTAGGATTGCAACCCCTTCCTTTTTTTGTTTTCCATTTGCTTGGTAGGTCTTCTTCCATCCCTTTATTTTGAGCCCATGGGTTTCCTGAATACAGCACACTGATGGGTCTTGACTCTTTATCCAATTTGCCAGTCTGTGTCTTTTAGTTGGAGCATTCAGCCCATTTACATTTAAAGTTTATATTGTTATGTGTGAATCTGATCCTGTCATTATGATGTTAGCTGGTTATTTTGCTCATTAGTTGATGCTGTTTCTTCCTAGCCTTGAAGGTCTATACAATTTGGCATGTCTTTGCAGTGGCTGGTACTGGTTGTTCCTTTCCATGTTTAGTGCTTCCTTCAGGAGCTCTTTTAGGGTAGGCCTGGTGGTGACAAAATCCCTCATCATTTGCTTGTCTGTAAAGTATTTTATTTCTCCTTCTCTTATGAAGTTTAGTTTGGCTGGATATGAAATTCTGGGTTAAAAATTCTTTTCTTTAAGAATGTTGAATATTGGTCCCCACTCTCTTCTGGCTTGTAGAGTTTCTGCCGAGAGATCCACTGTTAGTCTGATGGGCTTCCATTTGTGGGTAACCCGACCTTTCTCTCTGGCTGCCCTTAACATTTTTTCCTTTATTTCAACTTTGGTGAATCTGACAATTATATGTCTTTGAGTTGCTCTTTTCGAGGAGTATCTTTGTGGAGTTCTCTGTATTTCCTGAATCTGAATGTTGGCCTGCCTTCCTAGATTGGGGAAGTTCTCCTGGAGAATATCCTGCAGAGTGTTTTCCAACGTGGTTCCATTCTCCCCATCACTTTCAGGTACACCAATCAGATGTAGATTTGATCTTTTCACATAGTCCCATATTTCTTGGAGGCTTTGTTCATTTCTTTTATTCTTTTTTCTCTAAACTTTCCTTCTTGCTTCATTTCATTCATTTCATCTTCCGTCACTGATAACCTTTCTTCCAGTTGATTGCAGCAGCTCCTGAGGCTTCTGCATTCTTCACATAGTTCTCGAGCCTTGGCTTTCAGCTCCATCAGCTCCTTTAAGGACTTCTCTGCATTGGTTATTCTAGTTATCCATTCGTCTAATTTTTTTTCAGTTTTTAACTTCTTTGCCATTGGTTTGAATTTCTTCCTGTAGCTCGGATATTTTGATCACCTGAAGCCTTCTTCTCTCAACTCGTCAAAGTCATTCTCCATCCAGCTTTGTTCCATTGCTGGTGAGGAACTGTGTTCCTTTGGAGGAGGAGAGGTGCTCTGATTTTTAGAGTTTCCAGTTTTTCTGCTCTGTTTTTTCCCCATCTTTGTGGTTTTATCTACTTTTGGTCTTTCATGATGGTGACGTACAGATGGGTTTTTGTGTGGATATCCTTTCTCTTTGTTAGTTTTCCTTCTAGCAGACAGGACCCTCAGCTGCAGGTCTGTTGGAGTTTGCTAGAGGTCCACTCCAGACCCTGTTTGCCTGGGTATCCACAGCGGTGGCTGCAGAACAGCAGTAGCTGTAGAACTGCAGATTTTGGTAAACTGCAAATGCTGCTGCCTGATTGTTCCTGTGGAAGTTTTGTCTCAGAGGAGTACCCGGCCGTGTGAGGTGTCAGTCTGCCCCTACTTGGGAGTGCCTCCCAGTTAGGGTGCTCAGGCATCAGGGACCCACTTGAGAAGGCAGTCTGCCCATTCTCAGATCTCCAGCTGCATGCTGGGAGAACCACTACTCTCTTCAAAGCTGTCAGACAGGGACATTTAAGTCTGTAGAGGTTATTGCTGTCTTTTTTTTTGTCTGTGCCCTGCCCCCAAAGATGGAGCCTACAGAGGCAGGAAGGCCTCCTTGAGCTGTGGTGGGCTCACCCAGTTCGAGCTTCCCGGCTGCTTTGTTTACCTAAGCAAGCCTGGGCAATGGCAGGCGCCCATCCCCCAGCCTCGCTACCACCTTGCAGTTTGATCTCAGACTGTTGTGCTAGCAATCGGTGAGACTCCATGGGGGTAGGACCCTCCGAGCCAGGAGCAGGATATAATCTCCTGGTGTGCCGTTTTTTAAGCCCGTTGGAAAAGTGCAGTATTAGGGTGGGAGTGACCCGATTTTCCAGGTGCTGTCTGTCACCCCTTTCTTTGACTAGGAAAGGGAACTCCCTGATCCCTTGTGCTTCCCAAGTGAGGCAATGCCTCTCCCTGCTTCGGCTCGTGCACGGTGCGCACAGTGCACTGCACCCACTGTCCTGCACCCACTGTCTGGCACTCCCTAGTGAGATGAACCCGGTACCTCAGATGGAAATGTAGAAATCACCCATCTTCTGCTTTGCTCACGCTGGGAGCTGTAGACTGGAGCTCTTCCTATTCGGCCATCTTTCTTCATTTTTTTATGTAGGCACTTATAGTTATAAATTTCCCTGTTAGTAATGCTTTCACTGTATCCCAAAGGTTTTGCTTTGTTGTATTTTCATTATCATTTTTAATACAATTGTCAATTTTTTTTTCAATTTTTTCTTTGACCCACTGGTCATTCAGCAGCATATCATTTAATTTTTATGTATTTTTATAGTTTCCAAAATTCCTCTTGTTATTGATTTCTAGTATTATTCCATTGTGGTCAGCAAAGATGCTGTGCCACCTGGAGTTTGGGAAGGCGTGGTGCAAGCACTCTGTTAGCTGCCCTGGCTTGTGTCTCAGTGTGTCTCGTGCCCCACATGTCCACTGGCTCTGAGCCCCCCTGAGTATTAGGGCTTGCCTAGGAGTTGCAATTCTTGTGGTTTAGTCTGCCTTTCAGGTTTATTTAGGGACCCATAGGACTTTAGCCTGTGGTGGAGAGGCTTGCTGGAACTCAAATTCCAACCACTGTGATGAATGATTCCCTTATAGCAAGGGCAGGCCTATATGCTCCCTCTTTTGTGGGTGTTAGCTGAATTCAGTCTGGTTTTGCTTTCTGCTGTCACAGCCAGCATCGTGTTCAATGGAAATTCTCACAATTTTTTATCTCTCTCTCCCCCAACAACAGAGGTTCTCTCTCCGTGACACACAGCTGCTGCTGTGGGATGTGGGAGTGGTGGCATCAGCAATTTAAGATTGACTTTCCTACCCTCTTCAGTGCCTGCTTTAATGACATTCGGTTGAAACCAGGTACTGAGTGCTCACCTGATTTGGGGTTCTTATGAAAGTGCTTTTCTGTATAGACAGTTGTTAAATTTGGTGATCCTTTCAGGGCAGGGTGGGTGGTGTGATGATTTGTGAAGCCTACTATTCAGCCATCTTTCTCTTCCTATCAAAAACTCTTAATCTTGAAGAAAAGAGATAATAGGTGTGAGAAATGTAGAATATAATGCTAGGTTGTCCAAAGATAACACATACCATAATATGTTTTTCCACACTTATTTTCAAGGATTAGTTCACTTAATTTGCACAGAGTTTATATAGCTCACTAGAAGTCACAGTGGAGACAATGACTTCCTCACTGCTCAGAAACCACTTTCCTTGTTTGACAAGATGCTACATTTCCAACAAGGCTTGGAACTTCAAGTCATGGATCCATGTCCTACATATAGAACATTTCTCAAAGGTTTTGGTCCCAGGAACATTTCTCAAATGTCTGGTCTCCTTTTATACTCTTAAGAATTATTAAAGACCTTAAATAGCTTTTATTAAATATATGGGTTATATTTATCAATATTTACTGTATTGAAAATTACATTTGAGAAAATATATGTTTACTTTAAAATAGTAAACATATTACAAAACATAAATATGATGTTTTTTATGAAGAATAATATTTTATAAAGAATTAGTGAGAAAAGAGGCACTGTCTTATGATTTGCAAATCTCTTTAATGTCTGACTTAATAGAAGATAGCTGGATTCTCATATCTGCTTCTTCATTCAATTTTCTGTGATATGCTGTTTTAGTTGAAGAAAATTTGGCCTTAAATTGATATATAGTTGAGAAGAGAGGAATATTTTAATAGCTTTTTCCAATTACTGTGGATTTTTTTTTGACTCTACAACAAGCTTGACAAGTGTAGTTTCTTAGTTTGCAATGTGGAATCTGACAGTATATCAGTGAATTTTTCAGACTTTGTTGCATTAAAATCTACTGGTCTATCTTGCACTTTGAATGGATCTGCTACCCAAACATGATTTTGTAACATCATGCGTTGGTTATATGAAAAATACTGGTTTACTGATTTATGCAGGTCTTCCAAATGTTGACATATTCTTATAAAATATCTAAACTATTATATTTATTAATATCACCACTGATCTCTTAAGAAAAGTCATAAGTATTGGAAAGCTGTCAGGCTCACAGTAGTGGACATAAGTTTTGCAAAATTCTAATTTATTTTCTGAGAGTTCAAATTTTACCATTGGCCACAAATACTGTCTATTGTTTTGCTTGAAGTGACATGCTCACTTTATTAATTTTTGAGAAAATGTGTCAGATATTTGAATCTGAATGGTCATAATTCTGTCAATCCTCCATTCAAGTAAAAATGGTGTTTAATGACAAAAGTGACTAGTTCAGTTCTCAACTCAAGCAACTGCAGAAGTACCTTTCCATGAGAAAACCATTATACTTCAGTGCGTAGTGGAAGTGCTTTATGTATACTTCCCATTTCACACCACAGAATACTTTTACTGTTTTGTCAAAGATGTTTCTAAATAAAATTATCAAAAAATTTTTATAGTAAGTTCATGATGGTAAAGAATACAGTAACAAGTAGTACAGTTTGGCCCTTGTCAACATAGCTGTTCCAGGATAAACCATGAGATTCAAAAAAGTTATTCAACACTTTGCATATTTCAGCAACACTTGTGCTTGTTTCTAAGCATTGACAGCAACTTCAGCAACATTTATAGATTTTTACGTTTGAAAGGCAAAAATGTAATTCTGCAGATGATGTCATTCTTCATATTTGTAGCTAAATAGATGAGTTATTGTATCATTGGAAGATGGCAGTGCCATAATTCTTTTTATTGACTTTTTATTCAATAGGCATTCATTCAGCAGTGTCAACTGTACAAGGCTTAATTAGTCTCTTAGTTACTGTGTGTATTCCTCCAGCCAGTTTATGACAATTTACCCATAAGTTGCTTTGGTGGCTTTATTTCTAGTTTGCAAAAGTGTAACAAACAATTTTTGGTTTTAAACAGCTTTTCCCATCTATGTTTAAAATATTTAATTTCTTTTTCTATAAATGCAGAATAATTAACCTCAAAATGACGCAATTTAACTGGCATCAACAATACTATCTGAATGTGTTCAGTTCCATAAGACACAATAGGGTAAATTATTAACATCTATACAGCTGAAAGAATAATGTATCATATTTTAATTTACAGCATTGTACAGTTTCTTTGGAGTACATTCTTCCCTTCCTTGAGTCAAAGAACTTTATTAGGATATGTCAGTTTCAAGAAGAAAATGATTTTCAGCATGTTTAGAGATGGATGGTGTAGTTGTGGTTTGGGACAGTGATTCTTCTAGTTTCCATTTTGGAAGCCAATAATGCATATCAAAATATGAGGAAAAACTTTTATAAATAAAATTTTGTTAGTATAAAATATTATTAAATTCTAAAATATTTTAGAAAAAATATAAACCAATTTTTGAAAACTAAAAATATTACTGCAACACAAGACAAAGTACTTGCTTCTTGTGTCTCCACATAAGCATGAGGGAAACTATAGAATTTTAAATAGTGATTTAGTGGATAATAAGGAGATTAAAAGATTATGACAGGTATAAGCATAGATAGCTAGTAAGAAAACAGTGGAAGTACTGAGTACAAATGGAGAGGTGTGTGTGCGTGTGTGTGCGTGTGCCCATGTTAATACCCTAAACCTACTATCTTGGAAAATGTTTGAAAACAGAAGAATGCACATGCTAACTTTCAGAACAATGATGTCGTCATATATCATGTAGCCTCTGGAAAATGTCATTGTATACTTGTGAGAGAATGAGAGTGAAAAATCCAAACAACATTTTGGCATTATTATGAAAACCATATGGAACTCACAGGCTCTGAAAGGGTCTTAGGAGCCCCCAGACCATACTCTGACAACCTCTGATCTAGACTCTGTACTTCCCAGTATGACATGGAGTCACTCACTTTATCAATTTCTACATGTTTTTGCATTAGCAAAAATGAAGGAGAATTAGACTGTGTCACCTGAAATTGCTTAGAAATCTCAGGAAGGTGAATAATTAACACCATAATTTTCATCCACCTCCCTATATTTATTTACTATTATTTCCCATTAGAGCTTGCTTCTGAATCAGTTGAAATTTGGTGATGTAACATTTTCAGCTTCCAGTTAAAAGTGAACTACTGGCCAGGCGTGGTGACTCATGCCTGTAGCCCCAACACTTTGGGATGCCAAGGCAGGAGGATCACTTGAGCCCAGGAGTTTGAGAACAGCCTGAGCAACATAGGGAGACCCAATTCCTACAAAAAATAGAAAAATTAGCTGGGAGTGGTGGCATGCATCTGTGGTCCCAGCTACTCAGGAGGCTGTGGTGGGAGTATCACTTGAGCCTCATAGGATGAGGCTGCAGTAAGCCATGTTCACACCACTGCACTCCAGCCTGGGTGACAGAGCAAGACACTGTCTCAAAAAAGAAAAAAAGTGATTTACCACTGAGAGCACAGAAAAACTAGCCTGTATATTTTCTCCCCCAAAGCAACACAGAGTCCTCAATCCTTCCCTCCTTTTTACCTGCCAAGTTAGTTTCTAGAAGAGAAAAAAATAATCCACAGGAAAATGTTCCTAAGTGCCATGAACAATTAATATTTCTATTGCTAATGGCAGTACATTGTAACTAACAAAAGCAATATCTGGTGTAAAAATATTAGCAAAGTAAGTCTTTAAAAAGTCAAAGAATGTCCCTTCTGTCATGTGGGAAACCTAGAATTAAAATATTCCTACACACAAACATCCACAGAACTGGCTTACTAGGATGTCTTTTGTCATAAACTGTTTTGGAGGCGGTCATTTTCTGTTTTTGCCTGTTTGTGTTATTATAAAAAAAACCGGAGCCTGGGTAATGTATAAAGAAAAGAGATTTATTTGCCTTACAATTCTATAGGCTGTACACAGAGCATGGTACCAGATCTGCTTCTGGTGAGAGCTTCAGGATGTTTCCACTCATGGTTGAAGGCAAAGGGAAACTGGAGTGTGCAAAGATCACATGGTGAGACAGGAAGCAAGAGAGAGAGAGAGAGGGAGGTGCCAGGCTCTTTTCAACAACCAGTTCTCATGGAACTAAGAGTGAGAACTCACTCCTGCGAGAATGACATCAAGCAATTCATGGTGGATCAGCCTCCACAACTCAAACACTTCCTAGTAGGCCACATCTCCATAACTGGGGATCAAATTTCATCATGAGAATTGATGGGGCCAAACAAACCGTATCCAAAGCATAGCATTTGTAAAATAAACAAACAAAAAAAGTTCTTTCTGATAACTGATAATGCACTTCTATGACCACCCTGAGGATAAGTTTGCCTTCAGAAGAATTATATTTCCTCTCCCAGGAATGGATCAGTCCTCACATTAAAAAACACAACAAACTTGGCTGGGCACAATGGCTCATGACTGTAAGCCCAGTGCTTTGGGAGACCAAGGTGGAAAGACTGCTTGAGGCCAGGAGTTTGAAAACAGCTTGGGCAACGTACTGAGACCCCGTCTCTTAAAAAAATAGAAAAAAACGTTGGGCATAGAGGCAAACACCTGTAGTTTCAGCCACTTGGGAGGCTGAGGTGGGACAATCACTTGAGCCCAGGAGTTTGAGGCTACAGTGAGCTATGATTGCACCACTGCACTCCAGCCTGGGTAACAGAATGGGACTGTTTCTCTAAACAAACAAACAAACAAATAAACAAACAATAAAAAAAACACAAAAACCTTGGTAAGCTTTAACTGACTTTACCACATATCCTCTAGTTTAAATTTCTAACATTGACTAAATTCAAGAAGTCAATTCATAAAAGTCTTTGTTGTAGTAAAATTACCTAAAATACCTAAGTGAGATGAATGTCAGTCCAAATCTCTAGAAACAGATTCTACCACTTTTTTGAAAACATCACTCTGGAGATTATTAGTTTATATGAATGAAAACTCCCATGATATATGATAAAGAAGTCTCAAAATGTAATTAATGGAAAAACTCTTTAGGTAAGAAACTAATTTTGAGTACTGATTTTATTTCCTACTCTTTTCTTATCATTAAATTATTATTTTTTTTTTAGAGATGGGCTCTCGCTATGTTGCCCAGGTTGGTCTTGAACTCCTGGGCTCAAGTGATTGTCCTGCCTCAGCACCCCTACTTGCTGGGATTTTTTCTTATTGTTAATAGAACTCATTTTAATGCTTTCTCATTTACCATTTACCAGTTTTTTAATTTCAAAACAATTTTAATTATTTTAAAAAGTTTTTGTGGGCACATAGTAGGTGTATATATTTAAGGGTACATAAGATGTTTTGATGAAAATATGCAATGTGAAGTAAACACATCATGGAGAATGAGGTATCCATCCTCTCAAGCGTTTATCCTTTGAGTTACAAACAATCCAGTTACATTAAGTCATTTAAAAATATATAATTAATCTATTATTGACTATAGTCATCCTACTATGCTATCAAATAGTAGGTCTTATTGATTCTATTTTTTTTTTTTTTGGTGTGCATTACTTATTCCCGCCTCCCGCCCAACTCCCCAATACCCTTCCCAGCCTCTGGTAATTATCCTTCTGTTCCCTATTTTCACGAGTTCAACTGATTTGATTTTTAGATCCCATAAATAAATGAGAACATGCAATGTGTGTCTTTATGTGCTTGGCTTATTTCACTTAACACAATGATCTCCAGTTCCATCCATGAAGTTGCAAATGAAAGGATCTTATTTTTTTATGGCTGAAGAGTACTCCATTTTGTATACATACCACATTTTCTTTATCCATTTATCTGTTGATGGACGCTTATGTTGCTTCAAAATCTTAGCTATTGTAAACAGCTCAGCAACAAACATAGGAATGCTGATATTTGTTCAATATACTAATTTTCTTTCTTTTGGCTATATCTCTAGTGTATGTCCTTGGCAACTTTGTCAAATATGACTTAACTGTTGGTGTGTAGATTTGTTCCTGCATTCTCTATTCTGTCCTATTGGTCCATACGTCTGTTTTAGGCCAGTACCATGCTCTTTTGGTTACCATATAAAATTGGTAGTATAATTTGAAGTCAGGATATGTGATTCCTCCAGTTTTGTTCTTTTTGTTTAGGAAAGCTTTGGCTATTCTGGGTCTTTTGCAGTTCCATATACATTTGAGGATTGCTTTTTCTATTTCTGTAAAGTATGTCATGGGTATTTTGATAGGGATTGCAGTGAATCTGTAGATTGCTTTGAGTAGTATGAACATTTTAACAATATTGATACTTCCAATTCATGAACATAAAATATCTTTTAATTTTTTGTTGTCCTCTTCAGTTTCCTTCATCAGTGTTTTACAGTTTTCATTATAGAGATCTTTTAGTTCTTTAATTAATCCCTAGGCATTTAATTTTATGTGTGGCTACTGTAAATGGGATTACTTTTTTCTTTCTTTTTCACTTTGTTCCCTGTTGGCATATAGAAACGCTACTGGTTTTTGTGTGTTAATTTTGTATCCTGAAGTTTCAACTTCATTAATTTGTTTATCATTCTGTTATTTTTCTTGTGAAGTCTTTAGGTTGTATCAAATATAAGATCATATCATCAGCAAACAAGGATAATTTGAATTCTTTCTTTCCAGTATAGATCCCCTTTATATCTTTCTTTTTTTGATTGCTCTAGCTAGGACTGCCAGTACTATGTTGAATAACTGGTGACAGTGGGCATCCTTGTTGCATTCCAGATCTTACTGGAAAGACTTTCAATTTTTCCCCATTCAGTATGATACTAGCTGTGGATCTGTCATATATGGCTTTTATTATGTTGAGATACGTTCCTTTTATCTCCCATTTTTGAAGGTTTTATCATGAAAGAATGTTGAATATTATTAAATGCTTTTTCGGATCAATTGAAATGATCCTACAGTTTTTATTCTTCATTCTGCTGATATGATGTCTCATGTTGATTGATTTGAATACACTGAATCATCCTTGCATCCTAGGGAAAAATCCCATTTGGTTATGATGAATGATCTTTCTAATGTATTGTTGAATTTGGTTTGCTACTAATGACAAAAACCACAATTACTTGTGCACCACCCTAATAGTATTTTATTGAGGATTTTTGTATCAATATTCATGAGAGATATTGGCCAGTAGTTTTCTTTTTGTGATGTGTCTTTGTCTGTCCTTGGTATCAGGGTGATACTAGCTTCATAGAATGAGTAGGAAAGTATTTCCTCCTCTTTCATTTTTTGAAATAGAGCAGGATTGGCATTAGTTCTTTAAATGTTTGGTAGAATTCAGCAGTGAAGCTATTAGGCCTCACACTTTTCTTTACTGGAAGAGTTTTTATTACAGCTTCAATCTCATTACTTGTTATTGGTCTGTTCAAGGTTTGGATTTCTTCCTGATTCAATCTGGGTAGGTTGTATGTAACTAGAAATTCATCCATTTATCCAGATTGTCCAATTTATTGGTATATAGTTGCTGATGGTAGCCTCTAATGATCCTTTAAATTTCTGCAGTATCAGTTGTAATGTCTCCTTATTCAGTTCTGATTTTATTTATCTGGATATTCTCTTTTTCTTAGGCTGGCTAAATGTTTGTCAATTTTATTAACTTAAAAAAAAACTTTTTGTTTCATTGATCTTTTGTATTTTTTATTTCAAATTCATTTATTTCTGCTCTGATCTTTATGATTTCTTTCCTTCTACTCTTTTTAGGTTTGATTTGCTCTTGCTTTTCTAGTTCTTTAAGATGCATTGTGAGATTGTTTATTTGAAGATTTTCCTCTTTATCAGATGTAGGCACCAATAGTTGTAAACTTCCCTCTGAGTGCTGCTTTTGCTGTATCCCATAAATTTTCTTATGTTGTGTTTCCATTATCATTTGTTTAAATAAATGTTTAAGTTTCCTTCTTAATTTCTTCATTTACTCACTGGCCAGTCAGGAGCATATTGTTTTATTTTTATGTATTTGTATTGTTTCCAAAATTCCTCTTATTAATTTCTACTTTTATTTCATTGTGGTTACAGAAGACGTTTGGTATTATTTAAATTTTTTTGAATGTTTTAAGAGTTGTTTTTTGACCTCACGTATGGTCTATCCTTGAGAAAAACCCATGTGCTGAAGAAAAAAAAAGTGTCATCTGTGGTTCTTGGATAAAATGGTCTATAAATATCCATTAGATCCATTTGGTCTATAGTGCAGATTAAGTCTGATGTTTGCTGAGTTTCTGTGTGGAAGATCTGTGCAATGCTGAAACTAGGGTGTTGAAGTCTCCAGCTGTTATTTTATTAGGGCCTATTTCTCTCTTTAGCTCTAATATTATTTCCTTTATATATATGTGGGTGCTCCAGTGTTGAGTGCATATATATTTAAATCGTTATATCCTCTTGCTAAATTGACCCCTTTATCATTATGTAGTGACATTCTTTGTCTCTTCTAATAGTTTTTGTCTTGAATCTGTTTTGTCTGATACAGGCACAGCAAGTCCTCCTCTTTTTTGATTTCCATTCCTGTGGAATATCTTCTTCCATCACTTTATTTTCAGTCTATTTTTGTCTTTATAAGTGGAGTGTGTCTCTTTTAGGCAACAGATCAATGGGTCTTGTATTTTTCATCCATTCAATCAGTCTATATCTTTTGATTGGTGGCTTTAGTCCATTTATATTCAAAGTTATTATTCACAAGAACTTATTCCTGCCATTTTATTATTTGTTTTCTGGTTGTTTTGTGGTCATCTCTTCCTTATTTCTTTCCTTCCTGTCTTTCACTAGTGAAGGTGATTTTCTTTAGTAATATAATTCATTTTCTTTCTATTTTTTGTGTATTCATTGTATGTTTTTTGACTTGAGGTGACCATGAGGCTTGCAAATACTATCTTATAACCCATTATTTTAACCTGATAACAACTTAACATTATTTGGATAAACAAACAAGCAAAGGAAAACCAATAAAAACTCTAAGTCCTAACTTCATTCCCCCTGCTTTTTAACTTTTTATGGTTTCTATTTATATCTATTGTATTGACTTTGTCTGAAAAAGTTCTTGTAGTTATTAATTTTTATTGGTCTATTGTTTGGTCTTTTTCCTTAGGATGAGTAGTTTACACACCACAGTTAGTGATATAATATTCTGTGTTTTTCTGTGTACTTACTATTACTAGTGAGTTTTGTTCCCTCAGGTGACTATTTATTTCTCATTAATTTCCTTTTCTTTCTGATTAAAGTACTCCCTTTAGCATGTTTTGCAGGATAGGTCTGGTATTGATGAAATTCCTCAGCCTTTCTTTGTCTGGGAAAGTCTTTATTTATCCTTCATGTTTGAAGGATATTTTCACTATATATACTATTCTAGGGTAAACATTTTATTTTTTTTCTTCAGCACTTCAAATATGTCATGCCACTCTCTCCTGACCTGTAAGGTTTCAACTGAAGATTCTGCTACCAGACATATTGGAGTTCCACTGTATGTTATTTGTTTGTTTTCTCTTGATGCTTTTAGGATCCTTTCTTTATCCTTGACCTTTAGGAGTTTGATTATTAAATGTTTTGAGGTAGTCTTTTTTGCATTAAATCTTCTTGGTGTTCTATAACCTTCTTGTACTTGGATATTGATATCTTTCTCTAGGTTTGGGAAGTTCTCTGTCATCCCTTGGCATTAACTTTCTACCCCTACCTCTTTCTCTACATTCTCTTTAAGGCCGATAACACTTAGATTTGCCCTTTTGAGCTGTTTTCTAGATCCTGTAGGCATGCTTCATTGTTATTTATTTTTTTCTTTTTTCTTTGTGTACTTACAAATAGCCTGTCTTCAAGTTCCCTAATTATTTCTTCTACTCTATCAATTCTGCTGTTAAAGGACTCTGATGCATTCTTCAGCTGATTCTTTTTTAATTATTTTAATCTCTTTGTTAAATTTATCTGATAGGATTCTGAATCTTTGCTGTATGTTATCTTGAATTTCTTTGAGTTTTTAAAAATACAGCTATTTTGCATTCTCTGTCTGAAAGGTCACATATCTGTTTCTCCAGGATTGGCCCCGATGGCTTATTTAGCTCATTTCATGAGGTCATGTTTTCCTGGATGGTGTTGATATTAGTAGATGTTCTTTGGTGTCTGGGTATTGAAGGGTTAGGTATTTATTGTAGTCTTCTCTGTCTGGGCTTATTTGTAGCTATTCTTGAAAAGGCTTTTTCAGATATTTGAATGGACTTGGGTGTTGTGATCTAAGCTATATTTTCTTTAGAAGGCATTCCAAGTCCTGTCACACTGTGGCTCTTGCAGACTCATAGATGGTCTTGGACAAGATCCAGGAGAATTCTCTGGCCAGGCAGAAACTCCTGTTCTTTTTCCTTTTTTTCTTCTGAACTTATAGAGTCTCTCTTCCTTTATTCTGACCCACTTAAAACTAGACATAGAGTGACACAAGCAACCTTTGCCCACCATGACTATTGATGCATTGGGTCAGACCTGAAGCCAACACCATGCTAGGTGTTGCCCAAAGGCCTACTGCAACTACTCCCTAGCTACTGCCTGTGTTCCCTCAAGGCCCTTGAGTTCTACAATTTGCAGGTGTCAAACCCAGCCAGGCCTGTGTCCTTTCCTTCAGTGTGTCAAGGTCCCCCCTCCCCAAGCCCCAGGTGGGTCCAGAAGTGTTGTCTGAGAGTCAGAGACTAGAGTAAAAAACCTTAGATGTCTAACTGTTCTATTGTATTGCAACTGAGTTGGCTCTCAAACCACAGAACACTGCCCTTCCCACTCTTCCCTCCCATTTCCAAAGGCAGAGGAGCCTCACCCTGTAGTCACCACCACCCCAGGCCACAAGGACCACTGCTAGACTACTGAGGATGTTCCATTAAGACCTAAGGTCTCTTAAGTCAGCTTGTCATAAATGCTGCCTGACCTAGGAATCACCCTTCAGGGAATTGGACTCCTCTCTGGCCCAGGGCAGGTCCAGAAATGCCATCAAAGAGTCAAGTCCAGAAACTGGGAACCCCAGGAACCCGCTTGGTGATCCACTCTTCTGTGGCCATGCTGGTACCTGATAATTGGTTTTCATGAAAGTGTTTTGTCTGTGTAGATAGTTGCTAACTTGGCATCCTTGCAGGAGAGGATAATTGGTGGAGCTTTCTATTCCACCATCTTGCTCTGCTCCCCTCCATTCATCCATATTTGGACACTGCCACATGTTGATCTTTACAAGAATGACTATTTTTTCTATGGGTAAGAAAGTATATAGTTAGTAAGTTTTGTAAAATTACATTACTGTTTCAAGCAATATGGGATTTGCATTGTTCTTCTTCAGGTTTTTTTTAGCCTGATGACTTCTCAATAGAAATAAGTTGTTTCTAATCAATGGGGAGCCATGAGACATATAACGTTCCTTAATACTGTCAATGTTTTTCCAACAAATAAAAATCTTTTTAGAAGCATTGTTGCCAAGCCACAAGTAGAGCATAGGTCAAAAGGAAAGAATAGAAATGTAAAGTCTTTGAAAATCTGTTATTTCTTACTCAGGATATTGATGAAAGCAAATATATTGCACTTTCAATGGTTTTAATTTTTCATAATTTAATTTTGTTCCTCTGGCTCCTGATTTGCTAAGCACTGCCGGGGAACTCTCTCCTAAGTCCTAGAAGTAAGCCCCACAGGCTTGGTTAGCAAAGGCATATTCAAACCTGAACACAGAAGAAGCCAATTAGAATTAACTGGGCTAATTAGGAATATAAATCTTCTATAAATTTATCTTCCACAAATAGTGTGATGAATCTCTACTGTAATTCTTGAGGTGAGATACAAAGTAGTTCCCATGTGACCTTAGTAAGAGAAGTTGTGAAAACAGATTTAAACTAGTATCTGAAAGGCCAGGGGTTTTCTTTTGCTTGTTTTTAGCTTTACTATCTTAGGACACCTAAACTGTACAGGCTAGTGATTGTCTCAAAATATTAAATGTAATAAAGCCCAAAGGAAGACAGATTACCCATTTTAATTGATAAGTTCCGAGAATAAAGAATTAGATGAAGACCAGAAAACTATTACACCTTCAGAGGCTAAGTTCAATAGAGTAAAAGAGGGGGGACATTAGGCTTCTTAGTTATTTTAAGATCTTCAGTGTTGTGTATAAGCAACATTTAGTGGCACTATAACAGGTACATTTACAATAAATAGGTAAATACAAATTGGCTGTCTAAGTTGTATTAATTTGATGCCACTTAAGTGGTACCTGGGAATACCTGGAGGCTGCTACCTTACTAAGCTCTGACAAGGTTCAACATATGAAAGAAAAGCACGATTACATCATTTTTTCTTTTATTACAAAAGCCCAACGTGTTTTCTTCCAAATCTTCTTTTGGATACAATAAAGTTAGAAGTAATTATATCCCATAGCTCTCAACTCCTAAAAATTGTAGCTGCCATGCTCAGAAAAATTCAGACTTTTAAAAATATCATCTAGGAGGGGCCAAACGGCTTAACTTTGGCTGAAAGAATTAACATCCTTGCTAAACCAATTGCTACTATTAGCCTATAAATCTACAGTACCTATTTTGTGTATTTTCCAGTTTCTAGCACACTGGTCCACTATTAATTCCATAATTAAACTCAAACTGAACACTTCTTCTCTTAGTATCTCCATTAATTGGTGTCAACTCAGGAAAGTATCTGTAAACATACACCTCTGCCTAGTTCTTAAAACTATGAGGTAGGGTAGAGATAGCAGAAAATTAGGCCTCTGTTTCCTCATTGGCTATGAAACAATTAGTCTTTTCATATGCATAGCACATCACCACATGCAAATAATCACATTCATTATCTCATTTAGACCTCACCAGAATTCTGTGAAAATTCCAGTGTAAGAGCTATTGTTCTAAGATATATCTTTGAATTACAAAGCCATTTGCTTTTTTACGCATGTGCTGGTTGTCTGGACTTGTTCCATTCTGGCTTAAAAAAACATTTTATAGTTTAAACGCTCCTTACTATACTATATTCCCTGAGAAATATAGCATAATGTAGTATTGTACACTCTCTATTGTACTATATTCTCTGAGAGATGAATACTATATTCATTCCTTAAATATGTGTCCTAAAAGCCTAAAATATAATACTATATACACTCCCTATTGTACTACAATCCCTGAGAGATGAATATTATATTCATTCCTTAAATAAGTGCCCTAAAAGCCTAAAATATAACACTATATACTCTAATACTACTAACTCAATATACATCAATATTTTTCCTTTTTAATTTTTATTTTTATTAAGTTCTGGGGTACATGTGCAAGATGTGCAGGATTGTTACCTATGTAAATGTGTGCCATGGTGGTTTGTGGCACCTGTGAACCCATCACCTCGGTATTAAGCCCAGCATGCATTAACTATTGTTCCTAAAATTCTCCCTCCCTCCAACCCACCCTCTGACAGGCCCCAGTGTGTGTTGTTCCCCTCCCTGGGTCCATGTGTTCTCATTCTTCAGCTCTCACTTATAAGTGAGAACACGTGGTGTTTGGTTTTTTGTCCCTGTGTTAGTTTGCTGAGGATAATGGCTTCCAGTTCTATCCATGTCTGTGCAAAGGATATAATCTCATTCCTTTTTATGGCTGCATAGTATTCCATGGTGTATATGTACCACACTTTCTTTATCCATCTATCATTGATGGGCATTTGGATTGATTCCATGTCTTTGCTATTGCAAATAGTACTGCAATGAACATATGCATGCACGTATCTTTGTAATAGAATGATTTATATTCTTTTGGGTATATGCCCAGTAATGGGATTGCTGGGTCAAATGGTATTTCTGGTTCTAGATCTTTGAGGAATTGCCACACCATCTTCCACAATAGTTGAACTAATTTACATTCCCAGCAACAGTGTAAAAGCATTCCTATTTCTCTGCAACCTTGTAAGCATCTGCTGTTTCCTGACTTTTTAATCACCATTCTGATTGGAGTGAGATGGTATCTCATTGTGGTTTTGATTTGCATTTCTCTAATGATCAGTGATATTGAGCTTTTTTTTCATGTTTGTTGGTCACATAATTGTCTTCTTTTGAGAAGTGTCTGTTCATGTCTTTTGCCCACTTTTTAATGGGAATGTTCATTTTCTTCTTGTAAATTTAAGTTCTTTGTAGATTCTGGATATTATGCCTTTGTCAGATGGATAGATTGTAAAAATTTTCTCCCACTCTGCAACTTGCCTGTTCACTCTGATTATAGTTTCTTTTGCTATGCAGAAGCTCTTTAGTTTAATTAGATCTCATTTGTCAATTTTTGCTTTTGTTGTAATTGCTTTTGGTTGTTTTGTCATGAAATCTTTGCCTGTGCCTATGTCATGAATGGTATTGCCTAGATTTTCTTCTAAGGTTTTTCTAGTTTTGGGTTTTACATTTAAGTCTTTAATTCATCTTGAGTTAATTTTTGTATAATGTGTAAGGAAGGGGTCCAGTTTCAATTTTCTCCATATGGATATCCAGTTTTTCCCTGCAGCATTTATTAAATAGAGAATCCTTTCCCCATTGCTTGTTTTTGGCAGGTTTGCCAAAGATCAGATGGTTGTAGATGTGTGGTGTTATTTCTGAGGCCTCTGTTCTGTTTCATTGGTCTATTTTGGTACCATTACCATGCTGTTTTGGTTATTGCAGCCTTCTAGTATAGTTTGAAGACAGGTAGCATGATGCCTCCAGCTTTGTTCTTTTTGCTTAGGACTCTCTTGGCTATACAGGCCCTTTTTTCATTCCATATGAAATTTAAAGTGGTTTTTTTCTAATTCTTTGAAGAAAGTCAATGGTAGCTTGATGGGAATAGCATTGAATCTATAAATTACTTTGGGCAGTTTGGCCATTTTCATGATATTGATTCTTCCTATCCATGAACAGGGAATGTTTTTCTATTTGTTTGTGTCCTCTCTGACTTCCTTGAGCAGTGGTTTGTAGCTCTCCTTGAAGAGGTCCTTCACTTCTGTTGTTAACTGTATTCCTAGGTATTTTGTTCTCCTTGTAGCAATTGTGAATGGGAGTTTATTAATGATTTGGCTCTCTGCTTGTCTGTTGCTGGTGTGTAGGAATGCTTGTCACTTTTGTACATTGATTTTAATATCCATCAATTTCTAAGACTCAGTAGAATGTAAACAAAAAAGTTAATTATGCATTCCAATTATTTGATAAATTCAAATCGGGGAAAATATGATCAGATTACTGGTGACAAATAGTCACCTCTAGCCTCACTGCTTAAACATGGCACAGTGAAGAAGAGAGCTGAATTGAATTCTAGTCCTAGCTCTGCCTTTGAACTACTTAATAAACTTGGCTGAGGTAGACACATCTCCTCTATTCTCTCAATTCCTTATACAGAGACATAAGGGGTTTAGAATAAATAAGAGGTTGGCAAAATCTGGCCAGCTTCTGAAGGTGATTTTATAAATAAAGTTTTTTGGAACATAGTGACCCTCGTGCATTTATGTTTTGTCTATGGCTGCATTTGCATTGCAAAGGCAGAGTCCATTAGTTGTCATAAAGACCATTTGACCATTAAAGCCACAATATTGACTATCTGGTCTTTACTAAAAACGTTTGCTAATCCATAAACTAAATCATCTTAGTTTTCTTCCTACTGTGATATTCTAGACAACTATAAAATGATTACAGTTTTTACAGCTGCATCCTATGTAAAAACTTGCAGTTTCTATTTTATGCAGTGGCTCTTCCTTATAGACAACTTGGCATTTAATATTATTAGTGGAAGAAAGGTTTTTTTTTTATTACTAAAGTTAAGGGCAGCATGTGTAGAGGTTTGTTTGTTTTTTATTTTTTGGATGGAGTTTCGCTTCTGTCACCCAGGCTGGAGTGCAGTGGCATGATCTTGGCACACTGCAACCTCCACCTCACGGGTTCAAGCAATTCTCCTGCCTCAGCCTCTCGAGTACCTGGGACTACAGGCATGCACCACCATGCCTGGTTAATTTTTGCATCTTTAGTAGAGATGGGGTTTCACCATGTTGGCCAGGCTGGTTTTGAACTCCTGACCTCAGGTGATCAACCTACCTCAGCCTCCCAAAGTGCTGGGATTACAGGTGCTAGTCACTGCACCTGCCATGAATTTTTTGTTTTAAATCATCTTTATTAAAACTATTTTAAGCATGGTAAATAAACTTTTGGAAGTAGCAGTTGGAGACTCCTTATATTTGTCCATTTTCATGCTGCTGATAAAGACATACCCAAGACTGGGCAATTTACAAAAGAAAGAGGTTTAATTGGAGTTACAGTTCCATATGGCTGGGTAGGCCTCACAATCATGGTGGAAGGCAAGGAGGAGCAAGTCACATCTTATGTGGATGGCAGCAGAAAAAAGAGAGAATGAGAGCCAAGTGAAATGAGTTTCCCTTTATCAAACCATCAGATCTTGTGAGACTTATTCACTACCACGAGAAAAGTATGGGGGAAACTGCCCCCATGATTCAATTATCTCCCGCCAGGTCCATCCCACAATACATGGGAATTATAGGAGTACAATTCAAGATTAAATTTGGGTGGGGACACAAAGCCAAACCATATCATTCTGACTCTGACCCCTCCCAAATCTCACATCCTTACATTTGAAAACCAATCATGCCTTCCAACAGTCCCCCAAAGTCTTAACGGATTTCAGCATTAATTCAAAAGTCCACCGTCCAAAGTCTCATCTGAGACAAGGCAAGTCCCTTCCACCTATGAGCCTGTAAAATAAAAAGCAAGTTAGTTATTTCCTAGATACAATGGGGGCACAGGCATTGGGTAAATACAGCCATTCCAATTAGGAGGAATTAGCCAAACAAAGGGGCTACCAGCCCCATGTGAGTCTGAAATCCAGAAGGGCAGTCAAATCTTAAAGCTCCAAAATGATATTTTTTGACTCCATGTCTCATATCCAGGTCACACTGATGCAAGAGGTGGGTTCCCATGGTCTTGGGCAGCTCCACCCCTGTGGCTTTGCAGGGTACAACCTCTCTCCTGGATGCTTTCACGAGTTGGCATTGGTTGTCTGCAGCTTTTCCAGGTGCACAGTGCAAGTTGTTGGTGGAACTACCATTCTGGGGTCTGGAGGATGGTGGCCCTCTTCTCACAGCTCCACTAGGTGGTGGGAGTCTGTGTGGGGGCTCTGACCCCACCTTTCCTTTCCGCAATGCCCTAGCAGAGGTTCTCCATGAGAGCCCCACCCCTGCAGCAAACTTCTGCCTGGCCATCCAGGGGTTTCCATACATCCTCTGAAATCTAGGCAGAAGTTCCCAAACCTCAATTCTTGACTTTTGTGCACCCAAAGGATCAACACCATGTAGAAGCTGCCAAGGTTTGGGGCTTACACTCTCTGAAGCCACAGCCAAAGCTCTGTGTTGGTCCCTTTCAGCCACAGCTGGAGTGGATAGGACACAGAGCACCAAGTCCGTACACTGCACATAGCACAGGGACCCTGGGCCTGGCCCACAAAATCATTTTCTCCTAGGCCTCCGGGCCTGTGATGGGAGGGGCTGCCGTGAAGACCTCTGACATGCCCTGGAGATATTTTCTCCATTGTCTTGGAGATTAACATTCAGCTCCTCATTAGTTATGCAATTTTCTGCAGCCAGCTTGAATTTCTCCTCAGAAAATGGGTTTTTCCTTTTCTATTGCATTATCAGTCTGCAAATTTTTCAAAACTTTATGCTCTGCTTCCCTTATAAAACTGAATGCCTTTAATAGCACCCAAGTAGCCTCTTGAATGCTTTGCTGCTCAGAAATTTCTTCCACCAGATAACCTATATTATCTTTTTCAAGTTCAAAGTTCCACAAATCTAGGGTAAGAGCAAAATGCAACCAGTCTTTTTGCTAAAACATAACAAGAGTCACCATTGCTCCAGTTCCCAACAAATTTCTTATCTCCATCTGAGACCACCTAAGCCTGGACATTATTGTTCATATCACTATCAAGCTTTTGGTCAAAGCCATTCAACAAGTCTCTAGAAAGTTCCAAACTTTCCCACATTTGCCTGTCTTCTTCAGAGGCCTCCAAACTGTTCCAACCTCTGCCTGTTACCCAGTTCCAAAGTTGCTTCCACATTTTTGGGTATCTTTTCAGCAATGCCTCACTGTACTGGTACCAATTTACTGCATTAGTCCATTTTCACGCTGCCAATAAAGACATACCTGAGACTGGGCAATTTACAAAAGAAAGAGGTTTAATTGGACTTACAGTTCCACGTGGCTGGGGAGGCCTCACAGTCATGGTGGAAGGCAAGGAGGAACAAGTCACATCTTATGTGGATGGCAGCAGGCAAAAAGAATGAGAGCCAAGCAAAATGAGTTTCCCCTTATAAAACCATCAGATCTTGTGAGACTTATTCACTACCATGAGAACAGTATGGGGGAAACTGCCCCAATGATTCAATTATCTTCCACTGGGTCCATCTCACAACACATGGGAATTATGGAAGTACAATTCAAGATGAGATTTGGGTGGGGACACAGAGCTAAACCATATAACTCCTATAACTAAAGCCAGAAGAAAAACTGCTTGAGGATCCCAGTTTCTTACTTAAATGGCATGACTTATTGGAATATGGAAGTAAAATACTTGCAACATACTACAATGTCAGGATATGTACAAAACACATTTTGTGTCATGAATCACATGACAACACAGGCTATAGTCAATATACTTAACTCTAACCCATTAATAACAATTTCCATTCCCCCACAACACACTCTCACCCACTCCAAGTGCTATACAACCATTAGTCTACCTTCTGCCTCTATAGATTTGCAAGTTATGGAAGGGAACCATACAATATGTGGACTTTTGTGACTTGCTTCTTTGAAATAGCATGTTTACAAGGTTAATCAATGCTGTAGCATGTACTAGTGCTTCTTTGTTTTCTATTGTCAAATGATATTCTATAGTATGAGGATATGAGATTTTTTTTTTTTTTTTGAGACGGAGTCTCGCTCTGTCACCCAGGCTGGAGTGCAGTGGCACAATCTTGGCTTACTGCAAGCTCTGCCTCCTGGGTTCACACCATTCTCCTGCCTCAACCTCCTGAGTAGCTGGGACTACAGGCGCCAGCCACCACGCCTGGCTAATTTTATGTGTTTTTACTAGAGATGGGGTTTCACCGTTCTAGCCAGGATGGTCTCGATCTCCTGACTTCATAATCTACCCACCTCAGCCTCCCAAAGTGCTGGGATTACAGGCATGAGCCACTGTACCCGGCCAAGGATATGAGAGTTTATTCATACATGCATCAGTTGGTGGACTCATGGGTTGTTTACATTTTTTGGCTATTGTGAATGATATTACTATAAATGTTCATGTATAAGTTTTTGTGTAGACCTGTTTTCAGCTCACCTGGGTATGTCAACATCTAGGACTGGAATTTTTGGGTCATATAGTAATGCTATGTTGAATTTTTTTGAGAAACAGTCAGTCACTGTTTTCCAAAGCAATTGCACCATTTTACATTTGCACCAGCAATACATGAGGGCTCCAATTTCTCCACATTCTTGACAACATATTTATTGTGTCTTTGTTATAGCCATCCTAGGGAGTGCAAAGTGGTATCTCACTATAGATTTCACTTGCATTTCCCTAACAGCTAATCATATTGAGCATCTTGTCATATGCTTATTGGCCAATTGTTTATCTTACTTGAGGAATTTCTATTCAGATTTTCCTGTTTTTTTTTTTTTTTTTTTTTTTTTTTTTTTTTTTTTTTTTTTTTACTGATAAGGATCTCTATGTTTCCCAAGCTGGATTAAAACTCATGGGCTCCAGCCGAGAGCTGGGACCACAGGCATGTGCAACTGTGCCTGGCTTCTATCTTTTAATTGGGTTATTAGGCTTTTTATTATTGAGTTATATTTATATATTTTTATATTTTCTGTATAGGGTATCCTATCAGATATATGATTTACAAAATATTTTCTTCCATTCTAAAGGAGAATTCACTTTTTTTTGCTTACTTTTTTTTTTATTATACTTTAAGTTCTAGGGTACATGTGCACAACTTGCAGGTTTGTTATATAGGTATACTTGTGCCATGTTGGTTTGCTGCACCCAATAATTCGTCATTTACATTAGGTATTTCTCCTAATGTTATCCTTACCCCAGTCCCCCATCCCCCGACAGGCCCCAGTGTGGGATGTTCCCCACCCTGTGTCCAAGTGTTCTCACTGTTCAATTCCCACCTATGAGTGAGAATATGTGGTGTTTGGTTTTCTGTCCTTGTGACAGTTTGCTCAGAATGATGGTTTCTGCCTTCATACATGTCCCTGCAAAGGACATGAACTCATCCTGTTTTTATGGCTGTATAGTATTCCATGGTGTATATGTGCCACATTTTCTTAACCCAGTGTATCATTGATAGACACTTGGGTTGGTTCCAAGTCTTTGCTATTGTGAATAGTGCCACAATAAACATACATGTGCATGTATCTTTATAGTAGCATGATTTATAATCCCTTGGGTATATACCCAGGAATGGGATCTCTGGGTCAAATGGTATTTCTAGTTCTAGATCCTTGAGGAATCACCACACTGTCTTCCACAATGGTTGAACTAATTTACAGTCCCACCAACAGTATTAAAGCGTTCCTATTTCTCCACATCCTCTCCAGCATCTGTTGTTTCCTGACATTTTAATGATTGCCATTCCAACTGGTATGAGATGGTATCTCATTGTGGTTTTGATTTGCATTTCTCTGATGACCAGTGATGATGAGCATTTTTTCATGTGTCTGTTGGCTGCATAAATGTCTTCTTTTGAGAAGTGTCTGTTCATAGCCTTTGCCCACTGTTTGATAGGGTTTTTTTTTTTTTCTGGCAAATTTGTTTGAGTTCTTTGTAGATTCTGGATATTAGCCCTTTGTCAGATGGGTAGATTGCAAAAATTTTCTCCCATTCTGTAGGTTGCCTGTTCACTCTAATGGTAGTTTCTTTTGCTGTGCAGAAGCTCTTTAGTTTAATTAGATCCCATTTGTCAATTTTGGCTTTTGTTGCCATTGCTTTTGGTGTTTTAGTCATGAAGTCCTTGCCCATGCCTATGACCTGAATGGTATTGCCTAGGTTTTCTTCTAGGGTTTTTAGGGTTTTCGGTCTAACATTTAAGTCTTTAATCCATCTTGAATTAATTTTTGTATAAGGTGTAAGGAAGGGATCCAGCTTCAGCTTTCTGCATATGGCTATCCAGTTTTCCCAGCACCATTTATTAAATAGGGAATCCTTTCCCCATTGCTTGTTTTTGTCAGGTTTGTCAAAGATCAGATGGTTGTAGATGTGTGGTGTTACTTCTGAGGCCTCTGTTCTGTTCCATTGGTCTATATCTCTGTTTTGGTCCCAGTACCATGCTGTTTTGGTTACTGTAGCCTTGTAGTAGAGTTTGAAATCAGGTAGCATGATGCCTCCAGCTTTGTTCTTTTGGCTTAGGATTGTCTTGGCAATGCAGGCTCTTTTTTGGTTCCATATGAACTTTAAAGTAGTTTTTTCCAATTCTGTGAAGAAAGTCGTTGGTAGCTTGATGGGGATGGCATTGAATCTATAAATATCCTTGGGCAGTATGGCCATTTTCACGATATTGATTCTTCCTATCCATGATCATGGAATGTGATTCCATTTGTTTGTGTCCTTTTTTATTTCATTGAGCAGTGGTTTGTAGTTCTCCTTGAAGAGGTCCTTCAAATCTCTTGTAAGTTGGATTCTTAGGTATTTTATTCCCTTAGTAGCAATTGTGAATGAGAGTTCACTCATGATTTGGCTCTGTTTGTCTGTTATTGGTGTACAGGTATGCTTGTGATTTTTGCACATTGATTTTGTATCCTGAGACTTTGCTGAAGTTGCTTATCAGCTTAAGGAGATTTGTGGCTGCTAGCTTTTGAATTTGTTTGCTCTTGGTTCTCTAGTTCTTTTAATTGTGATGTTAGGGTGTCAATTTAAGATCTTTCCTGCTTTCTCTTGTGGGCATTTACTGCTATAAATTTCCCTCTACACACTGCTTTGAATGTGTCCCAGTGATTCTGCTATGTTGTGTCTTTGTTCTCATTGATTTCAAAGAACATCTTGATTTCTGCCTTCATTTCATTATTTACCCAGTAGTCATTAAGGAGCAAGTTCAGTTTCCATGCAGTTGTGCGGTTTTGAGTAGTTTCTTAATCCTGAGTTCTAATTTGATTGAACTGTGGTCTGAGAGACAATTTGTTGTGATTTCCATTCTTTTACATTTGCTGAGGAGTGCTTTACCTCCAACTATGTGGTCAATTTTGGAATAAGTGTGATGTGGTGCTGAGAAGAATGTATATTCTGTTGATTTGGGGTGGAGAGTTCTATAGATGTCTATTAGGTCTGCTTGGTCCAGAGCTGAGTTCAAGTCCTGGATATCCTTTTTAACCTCCTGTCTCGTTGATCTGTCTAATATTGACAGTGAGGTGTTAAAGTCTCCCATTATTAGTGTGTGGGAGTCTAAGTCTCTTTCTAGGTCTCTAAGGACTTGCTTTATGAATCTGGGTGCTCCTGTATTGGGTGCATATATATTTAGGATAGTTAGCTCTTCTTGTTGAATTGATCCCTTTACCATTATGTAATGGTCTTCTTTGTCTCTTTTGATCTTTGTTGGTTTAAAGTCTGTTTTATCAAAGACTAGGATTGCAACCCTTGTTTTTTTTTTTTTTTCTTTCCATTTGCTTGGTAAATATTCCTCCATCCCTTTATTTTGAGCCTATGTGTGTCAATGTATGTAAGATGGGTCTCCTGAATACAGCACACTGATGGGTCTTGACTCTTTATCCAATTTGCCAATCTGTGTCTTTTAATTGGGTCGTTTATCCCATTTACATTTAATATTATTATGTGTGAATTTGATCGTGTCATTATGATGTTAGCTGGTTATTTTGTTCATTAGTTGATGCAGTTTCTTTCTAGCATCAATGGTCTTTACAATTTGGCATGTTTTTGCAGTGGCTGTTACCAGTTTTTCCTTTCTATGTTTAGTGTTTCTTTCAGGAGGTCTTCTAAGGTAGGCCTGGTTGTGAGAAAATCTCTCAGCATTTGCTTGTCTGTAAAAGATTTTATTTCTCCTTCACTTATGGAGCTTAGTTTGGCTGGATATGAAATTCTGGATTGAAAATTCTTTTAAGAATGTTGAATATTGGCCCCCACTCTCTTCTGGCCTGTAGAGTTTCTGCTGAGAGATCCCCTGTTAGTCTGATGGGCTTCCCTTTGTGGGTAACTTGAACTTCCTCTCTGGGTGCCCTTAGCATTTTTTCGTTCATTTTAACCTTGGTGAATCTGACAATTATGTGTCTTGTAGTTGTTCTTCTGGAGGAGTATCTTCGTGGTGTTCTCTGTATTTCCTATATTTGAATGTTGGCCTGCCTTTCTAGGTTGGGAAAGTTCTCCTGGATAGTATCCTGAAGAATGTTTTCCAACTTGGTTCCATTCTCCCTGTCACTTTCAGGTACACCAATCAAATATAGATTGGGTCTTTTCAGATAATCCCATATTTCTTGGAGGCTTTGTTCATTTCTTTTTACTCTTTTTTCTCTAAACTTCTCTTCTTGCTTTATTTCATTAATTTCATCTTCAATCACTGATACCCTTTCTTCCACTTGATCCAATCAGCTACTGAAGCTTGTGCATGTGTCACGTAGTTCTCGTGCCATGGTTTTCAGCTCCATCAGGTCATTTAGGTCTTCTCTACACTGTTTATTCTAGTTAGCCATTTGTCTAATCTTTTTTCAAGGTTTCTAGCTTCCTTGCAGTGGTTCAAACATCCTCCTTTAGCTCGGAGAAGTTTCTTATTACCGACCATCTGAAGCCTACTTCTGTCAACTCATCAAAGTCATTCTCCATCCAGCTTTGTTCCATTGCTGGTGAGGAACTGCAATCCTTTGGAGAAGAGGCACTCTGGTTTTCAGAATTTTCAGCTTTTCTGCTCTGGTTTCTCCCCATCTTTGTGGTTTTATCTACCTTTGGTCTTTGATGATGGTGACCTACAGATGGGGTTTTGGTGTGGATGTCCTTTTTGTTGATGTTGGTGCTATTCCTTTCTGTTTGTTAGTTTTCCTTCTAACAGTCAGGACTCTCAGCTGTAGGTCTGTTGGAGTTTGCTGGAGGTCCACTCCAGATCCCGTTTGCCTGGGTATCACCAGCGGAGGCTGCAGAACCGCAAATATTGCAGAACAGCAAATGTTGTTGCCTGATTCTTCCTCTGGAAGCTTTGTCTCAGAGGGGTACCTGGCTGTATGAGGTGTCAGTCGGCCCCTACTGGGAGGTGTCTTCCAGTTAGGCTACTCGGAGGTCAGGGACCCACTTGAGGCAGTCTGTCTGTTCTCAGATCTGAAACTCTGTGCTGGGAGAACCACTGCTCTCTTCAAAGCTGTTTAAGACAGGGACGTTTAAGTGTGCAGAATTTTCTGCTGCCTTTTGTTCAGCTATGCCTTGACCCCAGAGGTGGAGTCAACAGAGGCAACAGGCCTTGTAGATCTGCGGTGGGCTCCGCCCAGTTCAAGCTTCCCCACCTGCTTTGTTTACCTACTCAAGCCTCAGCAATGGCGGATGCATCTCCCCCTGCCAGGCTGCTGCATTGCAGGTCAATGTCAGACTGTTGCACTAGCAGTGAGCAAGGCTCCGTGGGCATGGGACCTGCTGATCCATGCATGGGATATAATCTCCTGGTGTGCTGTTTGCTAAGACCATTGGAAAAGTGCAGTATTTAGGCAGGAGTGTCCCGTTTTTCCAGATACAGTCTGTCATGGCTTCCCTTGGCTAGGAAAGGGAAATCCCCCGACCCCTTGTGCTTCCCAATTGAGGCAATGCCCCACCGTGTTTTGGCTCGTCCTCCATGGGCTGCATCCACTGTCCAACCCTTCCCAATGAGATGAAGCAGGTACCTCAGTTGGAGATGCAGAAATCACCCGTCTTCTGCATCGATCACGCTGGGAGCTGCAGACTGGAGCTGTTCCTATTCGGCCATCTTGGAATGGACCCCCCAGTTTTGAGAATTCACTTTCTTGATGTATCATTTGAAGCACTAAAGTTGTTAATTTTGATGATGTTTATCTATTTTCTTTTTTGTTGCTTGTGCTATTGGTGTTAAAATCAGAAAACCATTGTTTAATCCAAGGTCGTAAAGATTTCCTCCTGTGTTTTCTTGTAAAAGTTTTGTAATTTCAGCTCTTACATTTAGGTTTATTATCTACTTTGAGTAAATTCTTATATATGTAGTGAAGAAGACTACCTGCATTCTTTTGCATGTGATTATACAATTGTCACAGCATGCTTTGTTGAAGAGAATGTTCTTTCCTCATTGAATAATTTTGGCATGCTTGTCAGAAATGAACTCATTATAAACATAAGAGTTTATTCCTGGACTCTCAATCCTATTTCACTGATGTATATTTCCATCCTTTTGATAGTACCACACAACCTCTTGATTACCTTTGGGGTAAGTTTTACAACCGGTAAGTGAGAGTCCTCCAACTTTCTTTTTATTCCCTGATTGCCCTGGTTAGAAACTTCGGTACAATAATGAATACAAATTGTAAGCACAAACATTCTTGTTTCATTCCTGATCTTAAGTATTCAACATTTAGTCTTTCACCATCGAGTATAATGTCAGTTGTGGAATTATCATAGATGACATTCATTAGGTTGAGAAATATTCCTAGTTCATTAAGGTTTTGTTTAATCATGAAAGGGTTGTGCATTTTCTGCATTTTTCAAATGATTTTTCTGTATCTATTAAAATGATTATTTTTTCATCCTTTATCCTATTAATATGGTTTATTACTTTGATTTATTTTTGAGTGTTAAATTAACCTTCCATTTATGGGATAAATACTGCTTGGTCATGCTGTACAATCCTTTTTAAGTTTTTGTGGGCACATAGGTGTATATATTTATGGGGTACATATTTTGATACAGGCATGCAATGTGTAATACAGCAGGGTAAATGGAGTATTCATCACCTCAAGCATTTACCCTTTGCATTACCAACAATCCAATCATAGCCTTCTAGTTATTTTTAAGTATATAATTAATTTATTATTCACTATAGTCACCTTGTTGTGCTACCAAATACTAGATCTTATTCATTCTGGGTTTTTTTGTACCCATTAACCATTGCCACTTCCCCCACCCCCCAACTCCCGAATACACTTCTCAGCCTCTGGTAACCAACATTTTACTTTCTCTCTCCGACAGCTCAATTATTTTAATTTTTAGCTTTCACAAATAAGTGAGAACATGTGATGTTTGTCTTTCTGTGCCTGGCTTATTTCACTTAACATAATGACTTCCAGTTCCATCCATGTTGTTGCAAATGACAGGACCTCATTTTTTATGGCTGAATAGTACTTCATGGTGTATATGTACCAGATTTTCTTTCTTTCTTGATAGTCACTTAGATTGCTTCTAAATGTTGCTATGATGAATAGTGCTGCAATAAACATGAGAGTACAGACATCTCTTCAATATACTGAATTCCTTACTTTAAGGGACATACCTAGCAGTGGGATTGCTGGATCATGTGGTAGTTCCACTTTTAGATCCTTACCAGTATTTGTTATTGTATGTCTTTTGATAAAAGCCATTTAAACTGGAGTGAGGTGATATCTCATTGTTGTTTTCATTTGTATTTCTTTGATGATCAATAATGCTGAGCACCTTTTCTTATACCCATTTTCCATTTGCATGTCTTTTTTTGATAAATGTCTATTCAGATCTTTGGCTCATTTTTAATCACATTATTATATTACTTCTCATTGAGTTGTCTGAGCTTCTTATCATATCTTTTGGTTATGAATCCCTTGTCAGATGGATAGTTTGCAAAATTTCGCTCCCATTCTATGGGATTTTCTCTTCACTTTGTTGATTGTTTGCTTCACTATGAATAAGTTTTTTTTTTTTTTTTTTACTTGAAGTGATTCCATTTGTTCATTTTCGCTTTGGTTGCCTATGCTTATGGGGTATTACTTAAAAAATCTTTGCTCACTCCAATGTACTGGATAATTTCCCCAATGTTTTATTTTATTTTTTTAGTAGATTCATAGTTTGCAGTTTTAGAGTTAAGTCTTTAATATATTTTCATTGGATTTTTGTATATGGCAAGAGATAGGGGTCTATCTTCATTCTTTTGCATATGGATATCCAGTTTTCACAACACAATTTATTGAAGAGATGGTACTTTACCCAATATATGTTCTTGGCACCTTTGTTGAAACTGAGTTCATTGAAGATATATGAATTTATTTCTAAGTTCTCTATTCTCTTCCATTGGTCTATGTGTCTGTTTTTATACCAGTATCATGCTGTTTTGGTTACTATAGCTCTGTAGTATAATCTAAAGTCAGATAGTGTGATTTTCCAGTTTTTTTCCTTTTGTTCAGGATAGCTTTGGCTACTCTGGGTCTTTTGTGGTTTCAAATAAGTTTTAGAATATTTTCTACTTCTGTGAAGAATGTTATTGGTATTTTGATAAAGGATGCATTGAATTTGCAGGTTCTTTTATGTAGTATGGAGATTTTAACAACATTGATTCTTCTAATACATGAACACAGAATATCTTTCCATTTATTGTGTCCTCTTCAATTTCTTATATTAATGTTTTATAATTTTCATTGTAGAGGTCTTTCACTTCTTTGGTTGATTGCTAGGTATTTAATTTTATTTGTAGCTATTGTTAATGGAATTATTTTTTGACTTCCTTTTCAGATTATTCACTGTTGGCATAAAGAAATGCAATGGATTTTTGTATGCTAACTTTGTATCTTGCAAATTTACAGAATTTATCGGTTCTATATGTTGAGTAACAGTGGTGAAAGTGGGCATCCTTCTCGTGTTCCAGATCTTAGAGGAAAGGCTTTCAGTTTTCCCCCATTCAGTATGATACTAGTTGTGGTCTGTCATATATGGCTTTTATTGTGTTCAGGTATGTTCCTTTTTTTTCTTAAATTTCAACTTTTATTTTAGTTACAGGGGGTATGTGTGCATATTTGTTACATAGAAATATGCATGATGCTGAGGTCTGTAATACAGATCCTGTCAACCTGGTAGTGAGCATAATACACAATAGGTAGTTTTTAAACCCACACCCTCCATTCTACTCTACAGCAGTCTACAGTGTTTGTTGCTTCATATTGATGTCCATGTGTGCTCAATGCTTAACTCCCACTTGCAAGTGAAAAAATGTGGTATTTGGCTTTCTGCTCCTGCATTAACTTGCTTAGGACTATGGGCCCTAGCTCCATTCATGTTGCTGCAAAGTACATGATCTCATTCTTTTATATGGCTGCATAGTATCCCATGTATATGTACCACATTTTCCTTATTCATTCTACCATTGATGAGCACCTGGATTGATTTCATGTCTTTGTTACTGTGAATATCACAGCAATGAATGTATGAGTGCATGTGAAATTTTGGTAGAATGATTTCTTTTGGGTATGTACCCAGTAAAGGGATTGCTGTGTCAAATGGTAGCCATGTTTTAAGTTCTGTGAGAAGTATCCAAACAGCTTTCCATGGTGGCTGGACTAATTTACATTCTCACCAACAGTGTATAGGTGAAAGAAATTATAAACAGAGCAAGTAGATAACCTTATAGAAAGGGAGAAAACATTCACAAATGAGGCATTTGACAAAGATCTAATATCCAGAATCTATAGGGAATTTAAATCAACAAGCAATGAACAAATAACCTCATTGATAAATAAATGGGCAAAGGACATGAACAGACACTTCTCAAAAGAAGGAATAAAAGTGGCTAACAGAGATATGAAAAAATGCTCAGCATCACAAATATTCAGAGAAGTGCAAATAAAAACCACAATAAGATACCATCTCAGACCACTCAGAATGGCTATTACTAAAAAGTCAAAAACCAATAGATGCTGGCAAGGCTTGAGAGAAAAGGTAGGTTCTTTCTATCCCCAGTTTTTTCAGAGTGATTTTTCTTTTGTCATAAAGGATATTTAATCTTACCAAATGCTTTTTCAGCGTCAATTGAAATGACTATATAGATTTTGTCTTTCATTCTGTTGATATAATAAATCACATTGATTGATTTGCATAAGTTGATCCATTCTTGAATAGCTGTGATAACTTCCAGTCATGATGAATAATCTTTTTAATGTTTTGTTGAATTTGGTTTGCAAGCATTTTGTTGAGGATTTTTGCATCATGGTTTATTACAGATATCGGACAGTAGTTTTTTTTTTTTTTTAATGTTTCTTTGTCTGGTTTGGATATCAGGGTAAAAATGGCCTCATAGAATGAATCTGAAAGTATTCCCTCCTACTTTTTGAAACACTTTGAGTAGGACTATTACTAGTTCCTTAAATGTTAAGTTGAATCCAGCACTGAATACATCGAGTCCTGTGCTTTTCTTGGTTTGGAGACCCTTTATTATGGCTTTGACCTTGTTACTTGTTATTGACATGCTCAGGTTTTAGATTTCTTCATAGTTCAATCTTGGTAGGCTGTATGTGTCTAAGAATTTGTCCCTTTCTCCTAGATCTTCCAATTTATTGGCAAATAGTTGCTCATAGTAGTCTCTAATCATTCTTTGAGTTTCTGTGATATGGGTTGTAATGTCTCCTTTTCATGTCTGTTTTTCTTTGGGTCTTCTCCATCATTTTGTTAGTTTGTGTGGCTAAAGATTTGTCAATTTTATTTTTTCAAAATAAACACCACCTTTTGGTTTCATTGGTCTTTTGTATTGTTTTCTTTGTTTCAATTTCATTTATTTCTGCTCTGATCATTATTTCTTTTTTTCTACTAATTCTGGATTGGATTTGCTCTTGCTTTTCTGATTCTTTAAGCTACATCATTATGTTATTTATTTGAAGTTTTTCTACTTTTTTGATATAGGCACTTAACAGTTATAAACTGCACTCTTTGTACTGCTCTTGAGTTATCTTACAGAATAGGTTTTGGTATATTTCTATTTTCATTTGTTTTTTCAGATTCCTTTTTAATTGTTTTAATGACCCACTGGTCATTCAGAAGAATATTAACGTCCATGTGTTTGTATTGTTTCCAAATTTTTTGCATTATTGATTTCTACTTTTATTCACTGTGATCAGAGAAGATACATGATTTTTTTTTTCACATTTTAAGACTTGCTTTTTGGCCTAACATATGGTCTATCCTTGATAATAATACATGTTCTGAGGAAATAAATGTATAATCTGTATCCATTGGATGAAATATTGTGTAAATATCTATTTGGTCCATTCGTTCTATAGTGAAGATTAAGTTCAATGTTTTCCTGTTGATTTTCTATTATTATTATTATATTTTAAGTTCTGGGGTACATGTGCAGAACGTGCAGGTTTGTTACTCAGGTATACATGTGCCATGGATGTTTGCTGCACCCATCAACCCATCATCTACATTAGGTATTTCTCCTAATGCTATGCCTCCCCTAGCCCCCCACCCTCTGACAGGCCTGGTGTATGATGTTCCCCTCCCTGGTCCATGTGTTCTTGTTGGTCAACTCCCACTTATGAGTGAGAACATGCAGTGTTTGGTTTTCTGTTCTTGTACTAGTTTGCTGAGAATGATGGTTCCCAGCTTCATCCATGTCCCTGCAAAGTATATGAACTCATCTTTTTTATGGCTGCATAGTATTCCATGGTGTATATGTGCCACAATTTCTTTACCCAGTCTATCATTGATGGACATTTGGGTTGATTCCAAGTCTTTTCTATTGTTAACAGTGTCACAATAAACATACATGTGCATGTGTCTTTATAGTAGAATGATTTAAAATCCTTTGGGTATACACCCAGTAATGGGATTGCTGGGTCAAATGGTATTTCTAATTCTAGATGCTTGGGGAATCGCCACACTGTCTTCCACAATGGTTGAACTAATCTACACTCCCATCAACAGAGTAAAAACATTCTTATTTCTCCACTTTCTCTCCAGCATCTGTTGTTTCCTGACATTTTAATGATTGCTATTCTAACTGGTGTGAGATGGTATCTCATTGTGATTTTGATTTGCATTCCTCTAATGGGCAGTGATGGTGAGCTTTTTTTCATATGTTTGTTGGCTGCATAAATGTCTTCTTTTGAGAAGTCTGTTCATATACTTCACCTACTTTTTGATGGAGGTGTTTGTTTTCTTGTAAATTTGTTTCAGTTCTTTGTAGATTCTGGACATTAGCCCTTTCTCAGATGGATAGATTGCAAAAATTTTCTCCCATTCTGGAGGTTGCCTGTTCTCTCTGATAATAGTTTCTTTTGCTGTGCAGAAGGTCTTCAGTTTAAACAGATCCTATTTGTGAATTTTGGCTTTTGTTACCATTGCTTTTGATGTTTTAGTCATGAAGTCTTTGCCCATGCCTATGTCCTGAATGGTATTGCCTAGGTTTTCTTGTAGGGTTTTTATGGTTTTAGGTCTTATGTTTAAGTTTTTAATCCACCTTGAGTTAATTTTTGTATAAGGTGTAAGGAAGGGATCCAGCTTCAGCTTTCTGCATATGGCTAGCCAGTTTTCCTAACACCATTTATTAAATAGGGAATCCTTTCCCCATTGCTTGTTTTTGTCAGGTTTGTCAAAGATCAGATAGTTGTAGATATGTGGCATTATTTCTGAGGCCTCTGTTCTGTTCCATTTGTCTATATATCTGTTTTGGTCCCAGTACCATGCTGTTTTGGTTACTGTAGCCTTGTAGTAGAGTTTGAAATCAGGTAGCATGATGCCTCCAGCTTTGTCCTTTTTCCTTAGGATTGTCTTGGCTATGGAGGCTCTTTTTTGGTTCCAGTGAACTTTAAGGTAGTTTTTTCCAATTCTGTGAAGAAAGTCAATGGTAGCTTGATGGGGATAGCATTGAATCTATCAATTACTTTGGGCAGTGTAGCCATTTTCATGATATTGATTCTTCCTATCCATGAGTATGGAATGTTTTTCCATTTGTTTGTGTCCTCTCTTATTTCCTTCAGCAGTGGTTTGTAGTTCTCCTTGAAGAGGTTCTTCACATCCCTTGTAAATTGGATTCCTAAGTATTTTATTCTTTGTAGCAATTGTGAATGGGAGTTCACTCATGATTTGGCTCTCTATTTGTCTGTTATTGGTGTATAGGAATGCGTGTGATTTTGCACATTGATTTTGTATCCTGAGACTTTGCTCTATTTGCTTAGCAGCTTAAGGAGATTTTGGGCTGAGATGATGGGGTTTTCTAAATATACAATCATGTCATCTGCAAACAGAGACAATTTGACTTCCTCTGTTCCTATTTGAATACCCTTTATTTCTTTCTCTTGCCTGATTGCCCTGGCCAGAACTTCCAATACTATGTTGAATAGGAGTGGTGAGAGAAGACATCCTTGTCTTGTGCCAGTTTTCAAAGGGAATGTTTCCAGTTTTTGCCCATTCATTGTGATATTGGCTGTCCGTTTGTCATAAATAGCTCTTATTATTTTGACATACATTCCATTAGTGCCTAGTTTATTAAGAGTTTTTAGCATGAAGGGCTGTTGAATTTTGTCAAAGGCCTTTTCTTCATCCATTGAGATAATCATGTAGTTTCTTTTCATTGGTTGTGTTTATGTGATGGATTATGTTTATTGATTTGTGTATGTTGAACCAGCCTTGCATCCCAGCGATGGTGGTGACTTGATCATGGTGAATATGCTTTTTGATGTGCTGCTGGATTCGGTTTGCCAGTATTTTACTGAGGATTTTTGCATCAGTGTTCATCGGGGATATTGGCCTGAAATTTTCTTTTTTTGTTGTGTCTCTGCCAGGTTTTGGTATCAGGATGATGCTGGCCTCATAAAATGAGTTAGGGAGGAGTCCCTCTTTTCCTATTGTTTGGAATAGTTTCAGAAGTAATGGTACCAGCTCCTCTTTTTACCTTGCAGAGCTTACAGCTTGCAGTGAACACCAAGAATGAGTTCTCAGACAATTCCAGCTGAGCGGGATTGGGGGCAGCTCTTCTAATAGAGTCTGCCCCAGCATCCATCTGCCAAGTATTTATTAAAAGGGCTTGTATTAACTACAAACATACACTAGATGCCTTTTTTGAGTTCGGGTCCTGAGACACCTGTGGCTTTGTAAAAGCACTCAAACCGCATTCTCAGGAGGCTGTTTGCAGTGTTCCTTATCACACCACACACTCCACTCCCTGTGCTGTTTGCAGGGTCAAGGAGTTTCATTCTCATGCACAAATAATGTACATATAGTGATATTTTTCCCTACCTCGACCTCAAATACCATATATATAAGGTTGAATATGTTGCCATGCACCCCCTACAGTACCTCTGGTAGAATTTGTCTGTGAATCAGTATGGCCCTGGACATTTTTTGGTTGGTAGGCTATTAATTGCTGCCTCAATTTCAGGACTTGTTATTGGTCTATTCAGGGATTTGACTTCTACCTGGTTTCACCTTGGGAGGGTGTATGTTTCCAGGAATTTATGCATTTCTTCTAGATTTTCTAGTTTATTTGCATAGAGGTGTTTATAGTATCCTCTGACGGTAGTTTGCATTTCTGTGCGATCGGTGGTGATATCCTCTTTATCACTTTTATTGCATCTATTTGATTATTCTCTCTTTTCTTCTATATTAGTCTGGCTAGTGGTCTATTTTGTTGATCTTTAAAAAAAACAGCTCCTGGATTCATTGATTTTTTGAAGGGTTTTTCGTGTCTCTATCTCCTTCAGTTCTGCTGATCTTATTTTTTTCTTCTGCTAGCTTTTGAATTTGTTTGCTCTTACTTCTCAACTAGTTATTTTAATTGCTATATTAGGGCATCGATTTTAGATCTTTCCTGATTTCTCTTGTAGGCATTTAGTGCTATAAATTTCCCTCTACATGCTGCTTTAAATATGTCCCAGAGATTCTGCTATGTTGTGTCTTTGTTCTCACTGGTTTCAAAGAATATCTTGATTTCTGCCTTCATTTCATTATTTACCCAGTAGTCATTAAGGAGCAAGTTGTTCAGTTTCCATGTAGTTGTGCGGTTTTGAGTAGTTTCTTAATCCTGAGTTCTAACTTGATTGAACTGTGGTCTGAGAGACTGTTTATTGTGATTTCCATTCTTTTGCATTTGCTGAGGAGTGTTTTGCTTCCAATTATGGGTCAATTTTGGAATAAGTGCTATGTGGTGCTGAGAAGAATGTATATTCTGTTGATTTGGGGTGCAGAGTTCTATAGATGTCTATTAGGTCTGCTTGGTCCAGAGTTGAGTTCAAGTCCTGGATATCCTTTTTAACCTCCTGTCTCATTGATCTGTCTAATATTGACAGTGGGGTGTTAAAGTCTCCCATTATTAGTGTGTGGGAGTCTAAGTCTCTTTCTAGGTCTCTAAGGACTTGCTTTATGAATCTGGGTGCTCCTGTATTGGGTGTATATATATTTAGGATAGTTAGCTCTTCTTGTTGAATTGATCCCTTTACCATTATGTAATGGCCTTCTTTGTCTCTTTTGATCTTTGTTGGTTTAAAGTTTGTTTTATCAGAGACTAGGATTGCAAACCTTGTTTTTTTTTTTTCTTTCCATTTGCTTGGTAAATATTCCTCCATCCCTTTATTTTGAGCCTATGTGTGTCTTTGCACAAGAGATTGGTCTCCTGAATGCAGCATGCTGATGGGTCTTGACTCTTTATCCAATTTGCCAGTCTGTGTCTTTTAATAGGGTCATTTAGCCCATTTACATTTAAGGTTAATATTGTTATGTCTGAATTTGATCCTGTCTTTATGATGCTAGCTGGCTATTTTGTCCATTAGTTGATGTGGTTTCTTCATAGCCTAGATGGTCTTTACAATTTGGCTTGTTTTTGCAGTGTCTGGTACCGCTTGTTCCTTTCCATGTTTAGTGCTTCCTTCAGGAGCTATTGTAGGGCAGGCCTGCTGGTGACAAAATCTCTCAGCATTTCTTTCTCTGTAAAGGATTTTGTTTCTCCTTTGCTTATGAGGCTTAGTTTGGCTGGATATGAAATTTTGGGTTGAAAACTCCTTTCTTTAAGAATGTTGAATATTGGCCCCCATTCTCTTCTGGCTTGTAGGGTTTCTGCTGATAGATCCACTGTTAGTCTGATGGGCTTCCCTTTGTGGGTAACCTGGTCTTTCTCTCTAGATGCTCTTAACATTTTTTCGTTGATTTCAACCTTGGTGAATCTGATTATGTCTTGGGATTGCTCTTCTCAAGGAGTATCTTTGTGGTGTTCTCTGTATTTCCTGAATTTGAATGTTGGTCTGCCTTGTTATATTGGGAAGTTCTGGATAATATCATGAAGAGTGTTTTCCAACTTCGTTCGATTCTCCCCGTCATTTTCAGGTACACCAATCAAACGTAGGTTTGGTCTTTTCACATAGTCCCATACTTCTTGGAGGCTTTGTTCATTTCTTTTCACTCTTTTTTCTCCAAACTTGTTTGCTCGCTTTATTTCATTGAGTTGATCTTCAATGTCTGATATTCTTTCTTCTGCTTGATTGATTTGGGTATTGATACTTGCGTATGCTTCACGAAGTTCTCATGCTGTGTTTTTCAGCTCCATCAGGTCATTTACATTCTTCTCTAAACTGGTTATTCTAGTTAGCAATTTGTCTACCCTTTTTTCAAGGTTCTTAGCTTCCTTTCATTGGGTGAGAACATGCTCCTTTAGCTCAGAGGAGTTTGTCATTACCCACCTTCTGAGGCCTAATTCTGTCAACTTGTCAAACTCATTCGCTGTCCAGTTTTGTCCCCTTGCTGGCGAGGAGTTGTGATTCTTTGTAGAAGAGGCATTCTGGTTTTTGGAACTTTCAGCCTTTTTGCACTTGTTTCTCCCCACGTTCATGGATTTATGTACCTTTAGTCTTTGAAGTCAGTGACCTTTGGATGGGGTCTCTGAGTGGACGTCCTTTTTGTTGATGCTGATACTATTCCTTTCCCTTTGTTACTTTTCCTTCTAACAGTCAGGCCCCTCTGCTGCAGGTCTGCTGGAGTTTGCTGGAGGTTCGCTCCAGACCCTGTTTGCCTGGGTATCACCAGCAGAGGATGCAGACCAGCAAAGATTGCTGCCTGTTCCTTCCTCTGGAAGCTTCGTCCCAGAGGGGCACCCGTCAGATGCCAGCCAGAGCTCTCCTGTATGAGATGCCTGTCAGCCCCTACTGGGAGGTGTCTCCTCAGTTGGAAATGCAGAAATCACTCACCTTCTGTGTTGATCTCACTGGGAACTGCAGACCAGAGCTGTTCCTATTCGGCCATCTTGCCAGCAACCCTCTCCTTGTTGATTTTCTGTCCAATGCTGAAAGTGAGGTGTTGAAGTCTCCAGCTATTATTGCATTGTGGTCTACCACTCTTTAGTAATATTTTCTTTATATATCTGGGTGCTCTATTGTTGGTTACATATTTATATTTACATATTTATAATTGTTATATCCTTTTGCTGAATTTACCCCTTTATTACTATATAATGACATTTCTTTTCTATTTTATAGGTTTTGTCTTGTGATATATTTTTTCCTGATATAAGTATAGTTATTCCTGCTCTTTTTTTTTGGGGTTTCCATTCGAATGGAATATCTTTGTTCATCCCTTTATTTTCAGTCTATACGTGTCTTTATAGGGGAAGTGTGCTCTTTGTAGGCAAGAGTATTGGGTCTTATGGGTATATCCATTCAGCCAACTCTATGTCTTTTAATTGGAGAGTTTCATCCATTTACATTCAATGTTAGTATTGATAAGCAAGGACTTGCTCCTGCCATTTTGTTATGTGTTTTCTGGTTCTTTGTGGTCTTCTCTTCCTTCTTTCCTGTCTTCATTTTAGTAAAGGTGATTTTCTCTGGTGATATGTTTTAATTTCTTGCTTTTTTTGTGTGTATGTGGTGTATGTTTTTTGATTTGAGGTTACCATGAGGCTTGCAAATACTATCTTATAAGACATTATTTTAAACTGATGACAACTTACTACTGATTTCATAAACAAAAAGACAAGTAACAAAAACTCTACATTTTAACTTTGTTGTAGTTATTACTTTTTATTTGTTCTTCCTTTAGTCTTTCTACTTAAGATAGATTTACACACTGCAATTACAATGGTCTAAAAGTCTGTGTTTTTCTGTGTATTTACTATTATCAGCGCGTTTTGTGTCTTCAGATGATTTACTTTTGCTCATTAACATCCTTTTATTTCTGATTGAAGTACTCCCTTTAGCATTTCTTGTAGGACAGGTCTGGTGTTGATGAAATCCCTCAGCTTTTGATTGTCTGGGAAGGTCTTTCTTTCTTTCATGCCTAAAGGATATTTTTGACAGATACATTATTTTCTAGGGTAAAAGTTTTTGTCTTTCAGTATGTTAAATATGTCATGTCACTCTCTCCAGGCCTGTGAGGTTTTCACTGAGAATTGTTTCTTTCCTCTTGTTGCTTTTAGGGTCCATTTTATCCTTGAGCTTTGGTAGTTTGATTATTAAATGCCTTGAGGTAGTCTTTGGGTTAAATCTGCTTTATCTTGTATAACCTTCTTGTACTTGGATGTTGATATCTTTCTCTAGGTTTGTGGAGTTCTCTGTTATTATCGCTTTGAATAAACTTTCTTCCCCTATTTCTATCTCTACTTCCTCTTCAGGGCCATTATCTCTTAGAATTGCCCTTTTGAGGCTATTTTCTAGGTCTTGTAGGCATGCTTCCTTCTTTTTTATTGTTTTTTGTTTGTTTGTTTGTTTGTCTCCTCTGACTGTATGTTTTCAAATAGCCTGTCTTTAAGCTAATTCTTCCCTCTGGTTGATCAATTGTGCTACTAAGAGGCTCTGATACATTTCTCAGTATGTCAAATAAAATTTTCACTTCCAGAATTTCTGCTTGATTCTTTTTGTTTCTTTCCACTGAAATTTCGTCTCTGTGTTATCTTGAATTTCACTCAGCTCCATCAAAACAAGTGCTTTGTATGCTGTGTCTGAAAGGTCTCATATCTCTGTCTCTCTGAGATTAGTCACTGCTGCCTTATTTAGTTTGTTTGGTGAAGTTATGTGTTCCTAAATGGTCCTGACTTATGTATGTTCATCCATGTCTGGGTATTGATGATTTAGGTATTTATTGTAGTCTTTGCAGTCTGGGCTTCTTTGTATCCATCCTTCTTGAGAAGAATTTCTAAGCATCCAAAGGGTCTTGGGTATTGTGATCTAAGTATTTGGTTACTGCAGCCATATCTCCATTAGGGGGCACCCCAATTCCAGTAACACTGTGGCTCTTGCAGACTTGTGGAGGTACCATCAACTTGGTGTTTTGTATAAGATCTGGGAGCATTCCTTAGACTAACAGGCAGAGGCTTTTGTTCTCTTTCCTTTTCTGCAAACAAATGGAGTCTCTCTCTCTCCGTGCTGAACTGCCTGGAGCTGGGAAAGGGGTGACACCAGTATACCTGGGGCCACTACTACTAAGACTGCACTAAGTCAGACTCGATTGCAGCGCATCACTTGGTCTCATCGAAGGCCCGCAAGGGACCACTGCCTGGCCACCACTCATGTTCACTCAAGGACCAAGGGCTCTTCAGTCAGAAGGTAGAAAATCCAGCCAGCCTTGTGTCCTTTCCTTCAGGGCAATGAGCTTCCCCCAGCCCTGGCTAGGTCCAGAAATTCCTTCCAGGAACCAGGTCCTAGAGTCCAAAACTTTAGGACTCTATCTCTTGCTCTACTCTAATGTGGGTGAGTTGACACTCAAGCCACAAGACAAAATCTTTCCTAGTCTTTCCTCCCATTTCCTCAGGCTCTCCATGGCCATCACCACCCCAGGCCTGCAGGGAGTACTGCCAGGCTGCCACCAATGCTCACTCAAAGTCCAAGCACTCTTCAGTCAGGTTGCGGTGAATGGTGCCAGCCTGGGTCTCTCCCTTCAGGGCAGTGTGCTCCCCTCTGGCCCAAGGCAGGTCCAGAAATGCCGTCCAAGAGGCAAGGCTTGTAGTCAGGGGAGCACAAGAGCTCACTTGGTGCTCACACTGTGGCTGAGCTGGTACCCAAGATGTAAGACAATGTCCTCTTTACTCTTTGCTTTACTTCCCTCAAACAGAAGGAGTCTCTCCCTATAACCACCACAGCCGGGATTATGCTGGGTCACACTCACTGACACAACTCTGAGTCTCACTCAAGCCTTTGGTGAGTACTGCCTGGCTACTACTGCTGATTATTCAGGGGCCCAGTGCTCTTTTCTCAGAAGGTGTGAATTCTTCCAGGACTGGGTCCTTCCCTTCAAGGCAGTGGGTTCCATTCTGGCCCAGGGTGTGTCTAGAAATGTCATCCGGGAGGTAGAGGCTGGAATGGGGGCCCCAGGACTCTGCCTCGTGTCCTATCCTATTGTGTATGAGCTGGTATCCATGTTGCAAGACTAAATTCTCTTTACTCTCCTCTCCTCTCCTCAAGCAGAAAAAAAGGAGTCTCTCCTAGTGCTGCAAGCTGTGCTGTCTGGGGTCAGGGAGCTGGGATGTAAGCACTCCCTTGACAGCCCTGGCTGATGTCTCACTAGATCAAGTTAAAATCCACTGACCTTGAGTTCAGCACAGCACCAAGACTTGCCCCGGAATTGCAGTCCTTGTGGCCTAGATTGCCTTTTAAGTTTATTTAGAACCCCAGAGCACTTTAGCCCACCTTGGCAGGGCTTGCCAGAACTCAGGTTGCCAGTGCTGGAATGGACAGTTTGCCTCTGGCTAGGGCTGGTCTATATACTCCCTGTGTGGATGTTGGCTGAGTTCTGTCCAGTGTTGCTTTCTGCTGTGACAGTGCAGCACTGAGTTCAAATGCAAAGTCCCACTATCACTGTTCTCTCTCTCTCCTCAAAGCTCACAGATTCTCCCTCTATGCCACATGGCCCCTGCTGCTGCAGAGGGATGGGGGAGGAGTGGTGTTGGCAACTCGAGACTACCCTCTTCAGTGCCTCCTTCCGTAATATGATTTTAAAATCAGATACTGTGATTGGTCGCCTGATTTTTGGTTCTTACGAAGGTGCTTTTTCATGTGGATAGTTATTCAATTTGGTGTTCCTGTGGGGGCGGTGACGGGATGATTGTGGGAAGCCTCTATTCAGGCATGTTGCTCTGCTTCCCTCTCCCATATGATTTTTTAAAAATGTTGTTGGACTCAGTTAGCTTGTATTTCATTGAGGATTTCTGCATTTATATATCTAAGAAAAATTGATCTGAAGTTTTCTTGTGATGTCTTTTGTTATGGTTTCAAGATAATACTGGCCTCACAGAATGAACTGAGAAAAGTTCTCTCCTCTTGTATATCTTGAAAAAGTTTGTGAAGTGTTGGTATCAGTGCCTCTTTAAATATTTTGTAGAATTCACTGAGGAAGCCATCTAGGCCTGGGCTTGTCTTTGTGGGTAGTTTTTATTAGTAATTTATTCTCTTTACTTGTTATAGATCTATTCATGTTATTTCTTAAGTCAGTTTTGTGTCCTTTTATGAAATTGTCCATTTCATCTAAGTTTCCTAATTTGTTGGCATTTATATATAGTACTCTTCTAAAATATTTTTTTTACCTCTGTGGATTCATAGTGATGTCTCCTCTTTCACTATTTTAATCATCTGAGTCTTAAGTATTTTGTTACTTGCCAGTGTAGTTAAAAGACTTGAGAATTTTGTGATATTTCAAAAAACAATTCATAGTTTTATTAATTTTATTTACTGATTTTCTATCCTCCATTAATTTATGCTCTAATATTTCTTTTATTTTGCTTGCTTTGCATTTAGTTTGCTCTTTTTTTCTAGTTTCTTAATGTGAATGGCTGTTATTAATTTGAGATATTCCTTGTTTTTAAATATAGGTATTTACAACTATAAACTTCCCCCTAGCCACAGCTTTTGCTGCATTCCACATGTTTTTCTTGTGTTTTCCTTTTCATTTATCTCAGAGTATTTTCTAAATTCCCTTGTGATTTCTTCCTTATCCTATATTTAAATTATGTTTTTAAATTTCCATATATTTATGACATCTCCAAGTTTCCCTCCACTAATAATTTCTAATTTCATTCTTATTGTGGTCAGAGAACATTCTTTGTACCATTTCAATCACTTTAAATTTACTGAGGCTTGTTTTATGGCCCACCTGAACAACATGTATTCTGATTTTGGGTGGCGTGTTCTATAGATGTCTGTTAGGTCTAGTTGATGCATAGTGTCATTTGATGCATGGACAGTTGATGCATGGACATTTTGCAGTGTAACATTTTGATCCTATTAATGATGTTCTAAGGATTTTTTTTAAAGAATAAAACACCTAGGAACACAGCTAACCAAAGAGGTAAAGGACTTCTATAAGGATAATTACAAAACACTGCTAAAGGACATCGGAGATGACACAAATAAATGGAAGATATTCCATGCCCATGGATTGGAAAAATCAGCATCATTAAAATGGCCATACTGCCCAATGCAATTTACAGAGTCAATGCTATTTCTATCAAACCACCAATGTAATTTTTTACAAAATTAGAAAAAACTATTCTAAAATTCATATGGAACCAAAAAAAAAAAAAAAAAGAAAGAAAGAAAGAAAGAAAGAAAAAAAGAACAAAGCCAGAGGCATCACATTACCTGACTTCAAACTATACTACAAGGCTATAGTAACGAAAACAGCATGGTACTGATACAAAAAAAAAAAAAAAGACACATAGACCAATGGAACATAATCAAGAACCTAGAAATAAAGCTGCATACCTACAATCATCTAATCTTCAACACGGTTGACAAAAATAAGCAATGGGGAAAGGACACCCCATTCAATAAATGGTGCTGGGATAACTGGCTAGCCATATGCAGAAGACTGAAACTGGACCCATACCTAGCATCATATATAAAAATTAACTGAAGATGGATTAAAACCTCAAACTACAAAAATCCTAGAAGAAAACTTAGGAAATGCCCTTCTCAACATCAGACTTGGCAAAGAATTTGTGGCTAAGTCCTCAAAAGCAATTACAACCAAACAAAAAGTGACAAGTGGGACCTAATTAAACTAAAGAGCTTCTGAACAGCAAGATAAACTATCAAGCAAGTAAAAAGACTATGTACAAAATGGAGAAAATATTCACAAAGTATGCACCTGAAAAAGGTCTATTATCCAGAATCTATAAGGAATATAAACAATTCAACAAGCAAAAAACAAGTAACTCCATTAAACATGGACAAAGGCAAGGTAATTTATAGATTCAATGCCATCCCCATCAAGTTACCCATGACTTTCTTCACGGAATTGGAAAAAACTACTTTAAAGTTCATATATATGGACTTTAAAAAAGACCCCGCATTACCAAGTCAATCCTAAGCCAAAAGAACAAAGCTGGAGGCATCACGCTACCCGACTTCAAACTATACTACAAGGCTACAGTAACCAAAACAGCATGGTACTGGTACCAAAACAGAGATATAGACCAATGGAATAGAACAGAGCCCTCAGAAATAATGCCACTTATCTACAACTATCTGATCTTTGACAAACCTGACAAAAACAAGAAATGGGAAAAGGATTCCCTGTTTAATAAATGGTGCTGGGAAAACTGGCTAGCCAGATGTAGAAAGCTGAAACTGGATCCCTTCCTTACACCTTATAGAAAAATTAATTCAAGATGGATTAAAGAGTTAAATGTTAGACCTAAGACCATAAAAACCCTAAAAGAAAACCTAGGCAATACCATTCAGGACATAGGCATGGGCAAGGACTTCATGTTTAAAACACCAAAAGCAATGGCAACAACAGCCAAAATTGACAAGTGGGATCTAATTAAACTAAAGAGCTTCTGTACAGCAAAAGAAACTACCATCAGAGTGAACAAGCAACCTACAGAATGGGACAAAATTTTTGCAATCTACTCATCTGACAAAGGACTAGTATGCAGAATCTACAATGAACTCAAACAAATTTACAAGAAAAAACCAAACAACCCATCAAAAAGTGGGCGAAGGATATGAATAGACACTTCTCAAAGAAGACATTTATGCAGCCAACAGATACATGAAAAAATGCTCATCATCACTGGTCATCAGAGAAACGCAAATCAAAACCGCAATGAGATACCATCTCACACCAGTTAGAATGGTGATCATTAAAAAGTCAGGAAACAACAGGTGCTGGAGAGGATGTGGAGAAATAGGAACACTTTTACACTGTTGGTGGGACTGTAAACTAGTTCAACCACTGTGGAAGTCAGTGTGGCGATTCCTCAGGGATCTAGAACTAGAAATACCATTTGACCCAGCCATCCCATTACTGGGTATATACCCAAAGGATTATAAATCATGCTGCTATAAAGACACATGCACACGTATGTTTATTGCGGCACTATTCACAATAGCAAAGACTTGGCACCAACCCAAATGTCCAACAATGATAGACTGGATTAAGAAAATGTGGCACGTATACACCATGGAATACTATGCAGCCATAAAAAAGGGATGAGTTCATGTCCTTTGTAGGGACATGGATGAAGCTGGAAGCCATCATTCTCAGCAAACTATCTCAAGGATAAAAAACCAAACACCGCATGTTCTCACTCATTGGTGGGAATTGAACAATGAGAACACATGGACACAGGAAGGGGACCATCACACAGTGTGGTCTGTTGTGGGTTGGGGGCAGGGGGGAGGGATAGCATTAGGAGATATACCCAATGTTAAATGATGAGTTAATGGGTGCAGCACACCAACATGGCACATGTATACATATGTAACAATCCTGCACATTGTGCACATGTACCCTGAAACTTAAAGTATAATAATAATAATAATAATAATAATAATAATAATAATAATAATAAAAAGTCAGGATAGGAGTTGAACTCAAGATAGAAGCAAGTAATTGAGTAATCAAAGTGTGCAATGGTAGAGTCAATGCCAAGGGGTTAGAAATCTCACCGAGGTAGAGAATAAAGGAAAAGTTTAAAAGTTTGAAAGTTTAAATGAGGCACAATGGTATCATGAAAAGTTTTTAAATGTCTTGATTCTGTTTTTGCAGTGGAAATGTTCAGTAAAGAAATATGACAGGAGAATTTCTAAATGAGAATTTTAAAAGCCGAAATGGTTTTTATTAATTATAGTAGAGAAACTATACAGAAATCTAATTTCATCATGTTAAATAATAAAAGAATGTTAGAACAGATCAAAATAAAAAAGTTATAGAAATCATTCAAAAAATAAATAAACATGAGCAAATGACATGAACAGACACTTCTCAAAGGAAGACACATAAGTGGTCAACAAACATGAAAAAGGCTCATCATCACTAATCATCAGAAAAATGCAAATCAAAACCACATTGAGATACCATCTCACACTAGTCAGAATGGCTATTTTTTGACTAAAGTCAAAAAACAACAGATGCCGGCGAGGCTGCAGAGAAAAGCGAATGCTTATAAACTGCTGGTGGGAATGCAAATTAATTCGGGCTCTGTGGAAAGCAGTTTGAACTTAAAACAGAACTACCATTTGAATCAGTAATCCCATTACTGGGTATATACCCAAAGAAAAATAGATCATTATACCAAAAAGGCACATGCACTTGTATGTTTATTGCTGTGCTATTCACATAGCAGAAACATGGAATCTATCCAGGTGGCCATCAATGGTGGACTGGATTATGTACATGTGAATATATACCATGGAATACTATGCAGCCATAAAAAAGAACAAAATCATGTCCTTCACAGCAACACAGATGCAGCTGGAAACCATTACCCTAAGTGAACTAATGCAGAAACTGCAAACCAAATATCACATCTTCTCATAAGTGGGAGCTCAACACTGGGGTACATATGGTTATAAAAATGGGAACAGATGCTGCAGAATACAAGAGAAGGGAGGGAGAAGGGGTGAAGGTTATAAAGGACTACCTATTGAGTACTATGCTGACTACCTGGGTGACAAATTCACTTGTAGTCCAAACCTTAGCATCACACAATATACCTTTGTAATAAACCTCCACATGTACCCCGATTCTAAAATAAATGTTGAAAAAAAGTTTATTTTTAAAAGTAACTTTCTTAGTGATTGTTCTAGGGATTACAATATACATTGTAACTTACCAGAATTTACTTCATATTTGTACGGATTAGTTGCAGTGAAATATAGAAATTTTACTATTATATAGCTTTCCATCCCAGTTTTGTGCTATTGTTATTCATATTATGTCTATATATGTTACAAACCAATACATTATCATCTTTATATGACCTTGCCTTTTTAAAAAGCTGAGAGAAGGACACATATATATGCAGAGAGTTCGTGATATTAGCCTTCTTAGATACCATTTCTGGCTGTCGTCATTCATGCCTGTGGATTCAAGATATTACCTGGTATCATTCCTTACATAGCTTTGTTTCATTCCCAATAAAATAATAATATACAGATTGTTTTATGCAGTTGCTTTATAAGTCAGTTAAGAGAAGAAAGGAAAAGAAGCATGCAATTGTCTTTTTAAAGTACTCACATGATTGCCATTACTGGTGCTTCCTATTTTTTTTTCACGTGGATTTGAATCACTGTCTGGTGTCACTTGCTTTTTGACTGAAAAATTACCTTTTTATTTCTTATAATGCAAGTCACTACTATTGAGTTTTCCTTTTATTTGTCTGGGAACATCTTATTTCACCTTCATTTCTGAATGAGTTTTGCTAGATATAATATTCTCATTTGGGTAGTTTTGTTTAATTTCAGCAATTTGAACATGTCATCATTGTATCTTCTGGTCTTCACTGTTCCTGATGAAACTTCACTTGTTAACCATATTGGGGTTTCTTTGTAGGTGATGAGCTATTTTTCTCTTACTGCTTTTGAGATTTTCTCATTTTTTGCTCACAACATTTGATGTGTCTCTTTGTTTACCCTACTTGACATTTGTTGGGCCCCTTTGATGTGTAGATTAATGTTTTGCATCAAATTTAAGTATTCTCGTAAGTTTCAGTTTTTAGTCCCCCTCTCTCCTCCTGGTACTGTGCATATGTTGGTACACATTTCTCTTGTTATTTTTCCCCATTCTTTTTTCTCTGTTCTTCAGACTGCATAATCTCCACTGATCTTCCTTCAAGTTCAGATTTTTTTCTGCCAGCTCAAATATACTACTGAACTCTTGTGAATTTATTTCAGTTATTGTACCTTTTCAACTCCAGAATTTCCATTTGTAGACACACACACACACACACACACACACACACACACACACAAATTCTCTTTGTTGACAAATCTTTTGCCTGCTACAAAAGTCATCTGGGCCACTTCTAAGGCAGTGTTTTATCACCTGCTTTTTCCCCGTGTATGGGTCACACTTTCCTGTTTCTTTCCATGTCTTGTAATTTTTTCTTGTAAATTAGACATTTTAGATAGTATCTTACAGCAATCCTGGATATTGATCCTCCTTTCCTGGGGGATTTTGGTTATTTCCTCCACAGTGTGCAGCCTGATGTTAGCTCTATTTTTCAGTTCAGCTATTAATACCTAAGGGTTGCCCCCAGGTTAGCACAAGGCACTTATTCGTCAATAGGATTTCTACCCTTTACGACTGGATGTGTGCATGTTTGGAGGCTGTTATAAATAGTTCAGGAAATTTATTTTCACCCATATTCATCAGGGACTAGAAGCTTGGAGGATCCCTGTGTGATCATCCTAAGAAGGCACAACCTTCAACATACACACAGTCTTTCAGATTGCCAGGGATGAGTGTAATTTTATTTTTAATCCTTGTTCCTGGGAGTCACTTCTGGGTCAAAGTAGCTTATTGCAGTGTTTGGTCAAAGGTTGTTTTTAAACTCCTTGTGCCAGTAAAGATTGCACCTTCTGTTGATGGGTCTGCATGCATTGGAATGCTTTCAAGTATGTCCCATGTTCTGCTCTGATTGTCGTGAGTGGGTGCAGACCCAGCACATGCACACAGACTTTTCAACCCCCATAGTTGACTGCACTCTCAGGACGGCTCTTCTTGGCTGTCTCTTTCATGTTTCTATTAAACTTCTGGTTCCTTTGCATGTGCAAGCTTCCCTTAATTGATCTCCACCAAGATCTCCATCCACTGTTTTTGACAACATCTTTAGGGATGAAGTTCTTCATGCTCTGTTCCAAATGAAGTCAGTTTCCACAGGCAGAGCTATGGAGTTGTCTTTATTGCATGCCTTTCCCCTTGGGCAGAACCTCTGCATCACTGAACTGAAGCTGAGGGTGGGGCTCATTTTTCCTGAAATGAAATCATCATTTTACTCACGGGTGATGGGGTGGGGTGGAAGTCCCCCGTATTTGCCAGTTTCCTTCTTTGGGTGATGCCTCCAATGTTATGAGCAAGCTGGGATAGAGAAAATCAGGGCCCCCTTATTCTCAGTCTTTGCATAGAATAGAATTTCTACTCTAAGGGGGTGGGGGTAGGGCTGGGTGGCAGAAGGCATCTCTAGTCCTTTTGGCTTTGTCTGCCTGGGATAGAGTTTCTGCAACACAGGTTTGAGCATGTGTTTGTATGGGGTTGAGGGGTGGGATAAGAAATGTAAACAGTTGGCCATGACAGGGTGAAACTGTAGTCCCAGAATGGGAGCTGGGAGAAGAGTGAGCCCCACCTATCCCCATCATCTTCAGCATACAGGCCCTGAATGGAGCATCCAGGGTGGAACACTCAGGTAACACTTGGATGGGGGTGGGGGATATATGGAACAGGTTGTTCCTCAAAGACCAGACTTTTGCTGTTCTTAATAAGATTCAACATATTTTCTTGAATGAATGTTTCTCTATTTCCCATATGCCCTTAAGACAATTTTCAGAAATTTTAAATGATTGTTTTAAAAAACAATTTTACCAGTAAAAATGTTGTTTTGCTGGGGAGAGGGTCTATTGAGCTCCTTACTTTGCTATTATGGAAGTCCTACTCTCCAATTTATTTATTTCACCAATGCCAACTGTATTTCAAGTCATAATGGCCAGGTATCGGGAAAAATTTTCAATTAGCAATAACTGTGCCTCGGATAAACCTCGTTGGCTTCCAATTTATTTTTAAATGTAACTTCAGTGGAAATGTGGTGCAGTAGAAGGAAGAACGGACTAGGTGTCAGGAGCCAGGGTTTTCATCCCAACTTGGCCTGTTTCCTCATTTGTAGAATGAGGGGATTGTATTAAATGACCTCTAAACTCCTTCTAACTTTAAAATCTCATGATTTTATGAAACTGAAACTACTGTAGTTGTGTAACAACAGGAAGTATGGAAACAATCCACTCACCTTTTTCAACCAAAAAATGCTCCAACCTGTTATTAATTAGAGCATGCATTTCATTTCCAACTCTACCTAGCTAATAAAAATGCTAGTTTATCACATGATTTGCAGTCAAGACATTTCTATACCCAAAAGTTTACTTCCTAATCATTAGAACTGAGAAACTGGGGGCAACAGAAACTTGCCTTTCACTGATTGATCATCAAAATTATGACAGCTTAATGTCAACTGAAAGCACACTATAATTTGCTGCCATTTTACCCACATTATGAGCTTCACAATTACTTAGAAACAATTCCAAGTTTTTACCTTCTGCATAAGGCTGTAAGGTCATACCCTCGGAGTGTCTCTTAATTATCTGTATTTATTCTCAGTATGTGAATGACAAAATATCAGTTTTCCCTGGACACTGCAGAGAAGAGTTGCTTCAATGGGATACCCATTTCTTGTCACAAATATAATGTTATTTAGTAATGTTTATCTACATAGATTGCTATAAACAATAACAGTGAGGTTAAGGGCCTCTCTGACTGAGTTATTTTGTCTTAACTGACCAGTTTTAATCTATTTGATTTGGTATTATCATTTACTATAAAATTTACATTAAAAATCTATATATTCAAAGGGATTTGTTTACAATTTAAGAAAACTGCAATTGCAAACATATTTAAATGCTTTCAACTATTAATCCAGGACAGACTATCTAGTACTAAAGATACAAGGTAAGAGAATTGTGAATATACACTGGCAAAAGTTGCTACTCAGCAACACATTCAGCAAGTAGGAAGGATAAGAGCAAGATGGCAGTATGGACAAAGAGATCCAGAAATAAGGAATCATACAATCTTTAAATATCTTGCCTTTAAAGCAAAAACTTTTTTAAAAACAGCCATCTTCACAAACTACTTTGTCAACATCCAAAGGAATGACACAATATTTATCTTAAGGTTTATAAAAGGTGCAAATCTCTGTAGAGGAAAAACATAAGGCTTATCTTGAGCTTGTTCATGTCCAAATGCTAAGGTCTCTTTCTGATTTTCAAAAGTGACCCTCAGACTTGAGCTGTTAAAAATTTCCAAATGAGCCCATCTGCTCACCAAGATATTTCTATGTTAAGAACCTTCAGTAAGGCATCTGGCCCAGTTTTTACAATCCCAAATTACCTTGGTTTCAACTTAATTTTTGTAAACTGGAAGTCCCTTAGGAAGAAAGTAAAATTTTCAATCTTTAAAATAAAGAGACATAAAAAATAAAACCCTATCATCTTGCTCCATTTTCAGATTCCATATTCTAAAACTGTACCTGATTCATCTCAATATATTAAAAAACATTATGTTGCAACACTGATTTAGAAATTTATACACTTTATCCTTTTGTGTGAGTACATAATATTATAATGTAAAATTAGTACCCTATAATTAAATGCCCTTTTTCTTGGCATTTCCTCTGAATGAATCATCCTAGGAAGCTTTTCTTTCATCTTAATTTGTCTATTATTTCCCTGTATAGAACTACCTTAATATGAAGTGGTTAAAAGAAATGCCTTTAAGACTTAGTTATGGACCCTACAATAACTGCTTTTCAAGTAATTTAAGATTTTGTTAGTTGAAAATAATGGTTAATGACGACAATGGCGTAGGGACCACTTACAATCATACGAAAAAAAAATAGCTTTGTATCTCTTAGTGGGAAAATTATCCACACCTTGGAAACATTCCTAACCTTCTTGGACTAAAGGTTTCCCATATCACAAAATAACTTACTTTGAACACTATTCACACCTCAAAATGAATTATTGCTGATGGTTACTTCAGTATTATGTGTTTGTTTATGCGGCTAAGCAAAATCTTTTCCATCAGCATCACTGGAAATGTATAGAGGGAATTAACAAAGAAGCAAAATTTCTATTGAGACTTTAACCACATTTCCAGTAATGCAACTGGTTTATTAAAAGTACTCACCCCACCCCCAGAAGAGCAGTAACAACTATGGTTTCAGAGTAAGAAATGTTGAAAAGGAAAAAAAAAAAAAAACTAATCCACTTTTCAGTTGATTATGCATCTCAGTATTAACTCTAGCTTTAAAAGCAAGATCTTGCATCACTTACTCTGGCAGCAAAGACTACGAAATACTGGTTTCATGTTACTTATCAAATTACCTTTATATAGCAAGAGTGGACACCTAAGTTAGATAAGTTCAGCTATCCACCCACCAATGTCAACAATACTAAAATTAATCTCTCCCATATCAAATTATCATGAAAAATTTCTTAAAACTATAAACCAATAAAATATTAGGACCTTTTCTGAGAAATAAAACCTTATTACATAGTTATGTGGCCATTCATGAGGTGCATATGTTTTCAAATTGAATGATTACTACCAAACAAATGAAAGCAAGTTCATACTGGAAAAGAGAAGAACTTTCTAAGTGAATGTATAGCAATATTTTATTAATTCTTTCTAGCAGGTAAAACTTTTTTTCCTCCCAAGGTAAAACTTGATTATGTTGTTTGGGCTCCTCCTCGTTATGTCAGGCTTAAAGAAACTAATTAAATTACTGAAAAGTAAGGGAAGATCTTTTAATAAATTCTGAAGTGTCAACACAGATTAGAGTCTTGATCATCTAAAGAGTATAATATGTAATACTCTATTTACCTAAATGTTAATATTTTTTAAATGGACACTGATTTATACACGTGTGAGCATGTGCATACATGCACGACATCCCATTTACTTGTTTCTTTGTAAACTTCGAATAGAAAAAGCAGCACATTTAAGATGGAAATATAAAAGGAAATGAACTTTCTAAGCTTTTCAGATTACTCCCAGTATAGCAACTTTCAAATTACATAGGAGTTTGTAAATCTTTAAAGAAAAATGTGTAGTTTTGTCCAAAACAAAAACAGTGCCTCATATTTTTATGGAAAAATAAAATTCTAATCACTAGATGATAGTTATGGTGCTGCTTAATGATGAAGAATATTCTACATAGCGACATGAGAATGAAGGTTTTTTTCCTTCAAAAAGTACATAGTTGCAAATACTTCAAAAATTCTAGCGGCCGGGTGCGGTGGCTCAAGCCTGTAATCCCAGCACTTTGGGAGGCCGAGGCGGGCAGATCACGAGGTCAGGAGATTGAGACCATCCTGGCTAACACGGTGAAGCCCCATCTCTACTAAAAATACAAAAAAATTAGCCAGGCATGGTGGCGGGCGCCTGTAGTCCCACCTACTCAGGAGGCTGAGGCAGGAGAATGGCGTGAACCCAGGAGGCGGAGCTTGCAGTGAGCCGAGATCGCGCCACTGCACTCCAGCCTGGGAGAAAGAGCGAGACTCCGTCTCAAAAAAAAAAAAAAAAAAATTCTAAGTATAGGCTGGGCATGATGGCTCACACCTGTAATCCCAGAACTTTGGGAGGCCAAGGTGGGCGGATCATGTGAGGTCAGGAGTTCAAGACCAGCCTGGCCAACATGGCAAAACCCTGTCTCTACTAAAAACAGAAAAATTAGCCAGGTGTGGTGTCATGCGCCTGTAATTCCAGCTACTTGGGAGGCCAAGGCATGATAATTGCTTGAACTCAGAAGACAGAGGTTGCAGAGAGCCGAGATGTGCCACTGAACTCCAGCCTGGGTGACAGAATGAGAATCTGTCTCAAAAAAAAAAAACAACAAAAAACAAAAAACAACAAAACAAAAAAGAAAAAAGTAAGTAACCTATCAAGTAAGACATCAAACTATAAATGCATGTCTATTTCTGATACATTCTAATTTTAAAAGTTTATAAATTCATTTTCACATCAATTTCAATTGGACGAAGGAGGGAGAAGAAACAATGAACCTACACTATCCTCTTTTTCTTTCATGTTAAGAAACAGACACTTTCCCTCTAAATTGTCAGCATAAAGGTTTTAAAAACTATAAAAATTGGGAAACCAATCTGATTCATCTGGCTATAGATCAAATGAATGTCAGGCCTCAAGAGGGTAATGTGGTAATATCAAACAGGTAGCAAAAAGTATGCATTGAGCACAACCAGGACAGTGACAAGAAAATAATTTGGGGATAAATACAGATGCCACATTAAATAGACTATGAAAGATGTAAAACTCAAATCCCCTTTTAAATAAATCTTATCTAAAAGAAGGATTATAGAAAATGGGAATGTATGATTTTTTTAATAAAACAATTCTGCTTCAGTGCAAATATGTAGTCCAAAACAACAAAAAAAGAAAATGTCTTATGTGACTTAGCACGAACAGTTTCCACAGCCTTTCACACTATTGACAATTTCTTCTTGTAGTTTCTTTCTTTCCTCCTCTTTGGATATATTTTCTTTCTTTGCTTCCCATTTGGGGTTATCATGGTTCTGCACACGGCTGCTCTGTGTATGCCACATTTCTGAATAGATACTATGAGGGTTAGCAAGCAAACCATGGTGGGTACCACGTTCGGCTACCTTACCCTAAAAAGTAAACACATGAGAAACACGGAGAAAGGTCATTTAACTAGCATAATAACTGAAAATACCAAATACTTTCTAACTAAGGAGTTTGAAGGATTTGCATTCATTAAAATACTTCTCCCAATTCCTCATACACAGTATAAGTGAAAAAAATTTAGGTAGGAATGCTTTCCTCCCTGTTGAGCTACCCAGTGCCAGAACAAACAAAAGGCTATAAAATTTCTAATACCATAAACACCATTTTATTTAAAGGAAATAAAATTGTAATGTTTCATTTGTCATTTTGAAGGGAAGAAAGGGAAGGTTAAAATGTAAACAGGTGATATTTTCTGTAATCAGCAAATATTCAAATCAAAAGCACTGTTATTTACAGAGACTTAAAAGATTTAAAAATAATATCCTTAAATCCTTATGTGTACTTTGAAATAAAAAAGATTTCATAAAATAAAAAAGATTTAATGAAAATGAAAAGTTTACTTCTTCCAGTGGCTATTTTTGTTAACAATGGTTATTAAACTTAACACTGCAAAGATTTGGTGGTATAGATTCCAAACTCTCATCTACAATTAATTTGTTTCTTGATAGCTACGGTTAACCATGCTGAGAGACAAAAGGACTTCTGTCACTTTTACTGGTATTCCTGGTAACAAGACTTTTACAATAAACCCTTAAGTAAAATAACTGAAATGTCTGTGCCTACATTTAAGTATTTACATGTAAGGTTATACCACTATTCCTTGATTTATTCATTTCTGGCATTATCTACTAACTTCCTACTATGGAATACGGAGATTCAACACTCATACTATCCCACATTCCCACTACTACATCATATACTCTCCTAATAACATCAGTTACATCACAAATTTTGATTCAGTGTTTACCTTATTACGACTTTGTAAGTATTCCCTGCTTAGCTAAGTAGGTACTAGGATTTTATATTTATTTTCTTATATAGTCTTTTAATTCTCCTAGACTTAGTAACTTCCTTGTTTTTTTTTTTCATTTGCTTAGTTTTCTGTGTCACTATTGGAAATCTCTCCAAAGTTTATTACACAATCACAAAACCCTTCTCAACAGTATTTTTCTCATAATCAACTACATTAAGTAATCTATTAGTTTATTTCACCTCACCACCCAGAGATATTCCCTTCAGAGCTTTTAGGTTGTTTTCTACATCCTCAATTCTGAAATTGTATGATAATGTGCCCTGGTACAGCTTTATTTTTCCTTTCCATTCATTGTGGTGGGTACTCAGGCCCTTTCAATCTAGAAACTCTTGCTCTGAAGTTCTAGACACTTTTTTGGTATTACTTTCTACGGCAAAAACCACAATAACTTTTGTACCAACCTACTATTTGACAATTTCCTCCCCTGTTTCTGGCCTCTCTAGAACTACCACTAGTCAGATGTTGGACTTTTTAGATAAATTCTCTTGTTTTCTGATCTTTTCTCTATATTCTCTTTCTTTTGGAGATTTCCTTGACTTTATTTCAGCAAAGACATTTCTCATTTCAAAAATCTTGTTCTCAGGTCATTCCTTTATTTATTTATTCACCAAATCCATTTTAAAATTTTGAAATATTTCAAGAGTGACACAATGAACAACTTTATATGCTTCTCCTAGTTTGGCAACCATTATTTTTTCCTACATTTGCTTTCTCCACCTCACCTTCTCTCTATATATACATGATTTTTTTGCTACACAATCTGAGAATGAGCTGCAGACATCATTACACTTCACCCCTAAATATTTCATTAGCATGTATCTCCTAAAAACAAAGACATTCTCCTACATTACTGAAATACAACTATACCACACTCAGGAAATTTAACAATGGCCGGCCATGGTGGCTCATGCCTGTAATCCCAGTTCTTTGGGAGGCCGAGATGAGAGGATTGCTTGAGCCCAGGAGTTTGAGACTAGCCTGGGCAACATGATGAGACACCCCCCCGCCCATCTCTACCAAAAAAAAAAAAAAAAAAAAAAAAAACAACCAAAAAACACACACAAAAAACTGAACAGTGATACGATATTCTTATTTAACATACAGTCCATATTCAAACTTCATCAATTGTACCAATAATGTCCTTTATACTTTTTTTCCATCTAGGATCCAATCAGGATCAACACATTGAATTTATAACAGCTTCGTTCTAGTCTGTGTGTGTTTGTGACATTGATATTTCTAAAATGTCCAGTCCTGTTTTTAAAAGACTGCCCTTCAATTTGTATTTGTCTAGTTGTTTCTGATTATTAGATTCAGGCTAAATTTTTTTTTTTTGAGATAGACTCTTGCTATGTTGCCCAGGCTGGTCTGGAACTTCTGGGCTCAGGTAATCCTCCCACCTCTGCCTCCCAAAGTGCTGTTATTACCAGCATGAGCCACCATGCCCAGCCCAAGTTAAACATTTTGGGTAGAAAGAAAAGATAATACATCTTCAGTGCATTACATCAGGAGGTACATGAGTTCAATTTGCTCCATTACTGATATTAGGTTTGATCAATTGGTTAAGGTGACATCTACCAGTTTCTCTATTTCTCTATTTTCAAGGTATTTTTTCTCTAATTAGTAAGTAACCTATGGTAATTTCAAACCGTGCAAATATTCTAGCCTCAATAGCTTTATACCATATGGTTTCAGCAACCAGTGAGGACCCTTACCTGAATCAATTATTACAATGGTGGCTGTAAAGTGTGATTTTCTGAATTTGTAATTCCTTTTACATTTCACGTGTTAGTTGGCTTTCTTCCTAAAGGGGAATTGTCCCTTTCCCCTTGATAATTTTTGTTTTAGCAGTATCATCATGGATGCTTAGATGTTTTTTATTTAATGTATTATAATTAGTGTCATTACTCTTTTTATGCCCCAATTGGCTAGTGGGAGCTCATTCAAAATGGTTCCTTTGTCCTCATGACTTGTGTTCATTAGTTCCCCTGACCCAGATCGGGAATCAACTACTTCTCCAAAAAGTCTTGGCTCCTTTTAGTGAGGAACAGTATTTAGTGCCCAAGATCTGGGTGCCAAGTATACCCATTACTACTGGGTTTTCACAGCTTCTAGGCCTCTTCAGTGAATAGAGTTGGGACATTTTTTTTAAATCATAAATTCAGACTGATAATACTATTCCAATATATCGCAAGGTTCTCCTCTTCCTTGCCAATTCCATATTTTTATCTTTCTTCTCCAAGAGATCTGTTTCCCAACATCAATGTATTTACTCATAAGCTCAATCTTACACTATACACAAAAATAGTCTCAAAATGGTTACCCCCACACTACTACCAACAATACACTAGGTTCAAATTTCCTTTGGGTTATTTTTGTCTTTATAATATATTCCACTAAGGGTATATAATCAAAGTAATATATTCAAAAGTTACTTGGCTTAATTCTATTTTTCTTCTGTGTGGTTATGTTAGCAATTTTATATGCAATTCGTTTTACTTCTTTCTGTTTGTATTCAATTTTTATTTTTCCCCATCCTTGTTGATTTAATTTTATTTTTGAAGGTATAAAAACACTAAGCATGGTTCAAAAGTAAAAGAAATATTAAAACTTCATTCTCTTTTCCGTATCTCTTCTAACCCTTTGTACCCACATCCCATAGGCAGCCAATTGCTTTAGTTTCTAGTTTATCCTTTGAGTTTCTTTTTGCAAAAATAAGCAGATATACATATATTCCTTTTTCCTTATCTTCTTTGCAAAAGGTAGCATGCTATATTCTCTTTTGTATCTTACTTTTTTTTTTCACTTACCAATATATTCTACAGATCATGCCATATAAGTTTCCTTTACTTTTTTTTTTTTAATTTTTGGAGACAGAGTCTCGCTATGTTGTCCAGGCTGGTCTCCACCTCCTGGGCTCAAGTCATCCTCTTGCCTCAGTCTCCCAAGTGGCTGGGATTACAGGTTACTTTTTTTTTCTTCTGTCCTTATTTTAGAAATACTGTATTTTCCACAATCTCTGAGCATATTAAGAAAGTCTACATTTTCCATTGAGTTCCTTTTTTCTCTGTTTTGGAGGTCTATCCACTGACATTTAAGAATAGAGCATTGAAAGGCTGACCGGAAGCTCTGTGTGCATCAATATGCCTTTCTAAACCACTGGACTTCATGGTAGGATGATTATGTAGATATCTGGACATTTTGTTGGGGTTCTCAAATACAAATATCTTTTTTTTTTTTCCTGGGGCTGCTTTTGTTTCTCCAGAGAAGAATCCTCCTATTATTTGCTGATGAGTTAAGGAGTAGTGATGGTAAAAATAAACAACTGGTTGGCAAAGTTCTTGGAGCCAGTGGCACAAGAGGGTCTGTGGTCCTATCCTTTGGTATGTTTTGATTTTCAGTTAATCTCTCCCTTCATTGTTAATGTGCCTGGTGGTCTGCTTGTGTCCAAAGCCAGTAATTTCCTGATAAGTAAATCTCCAGACTCTTGCTAAGGTTAGGAAGGAGTATAAACACCAGGCTGTGGGGGTGAGAAAGGGACCTGGGAACTTTATTTCTTATGTAGTCTTACACTTAATTCTGTTACTTTCAACCTCATGCTTATCGCCACTTTTCATCATATCTGGTGCCTTTAATTCCTGAGCCTTTTCAGGGGTCTACAACATGAATCAACTTGCTTTTTTTTAAATTGATGTCTCTCTCTTTTGACACACAACTTTTTAGCTCTGCTAATCTGTCTACTTACCAGTTTCCCCCAATTTGCTGGTATCTCTTGTCCACTGTTACTCCTTCTCCTATTATCTTTGTCCTTACGGCTGTATACTTATTATGCTTATTTTATTTCTTCACTTTCATTTTAGTATGGTTAGGGGAAGAAGAGATAAACAAATGTATCCAACCTTCCATGTTTAACTAGAAGTTCCCTAGATATGCCGTCTTAACATTAACACTACTACAAGAAATTGCTGACAGAACACAGGAGGTGACAGATTATTAGTCAAAGCTAAGGTCATATTAGTTTCACTAGAAAATGAAAATCTGTTATCTTCATAATCAGACAACTATAGAATCATCAAATTATGAATAATAAAGAGATTCTTGTTTAGATACAGTTGCTATGATCATTAATAAATTAGGTCCAATTATAACCCAAAACCCAAGTGGCAATGGTGTAAAATAAGTGTATAGATACTGTGAATTACATGGCATGAGGCAGGTAATTACATGGCATGAGGCAGGTAATCACATGCCTGCTAACGTATTTTAACAACTTCTATTTGTAATAAAAGGCTATTACTACTTGGCTGCATAGAATCAGAAAGCTTATAAAAAAGTAGCAGATTTTATTTAAGATTCTTGAACATCAATGATATAATAAGGTATTATTTACAAAATTTCCCATTTAAGACATTCTGGTACAACCATACTGGAAAAATCAGTTTGGTAATGAATATAAATATTTAAGAACAAACCAACAGAAAGGCCTAGGGTCACAAGTATGTAAGCAACTTATGAAGGTAATAGTATACAAACCACAACACTGAATACCCTATAAGAAATGTTAGTGGAGTGAAAAAGTCCCTTTAAATAGCTCAATATACAGACAGTACATGAGAATGCTTCTCTCTAAACTCTTAGTACACAGGTTTTCAAAATGTGACCAGGTGTGATGGTTCACGCCTGTAATCCCAGCGCACTTTGGGAGTCTAAGGTGGGCGGATCACCTGAGCTCAGGAGTTTAAGACCAGCCTGGGCAACATGGTGAAACCCTATCTCTACAAAAAATTAGCTAGGTGTGTGGCACATGCCTGTATAGTCCCAGCTACTTGGGGGGCTGAGGTGGGAGGATTGCTTGAGCCCAGGAGTTCGAGGCTGCAGTGAGCCGAGATCGCGCCACTGTACTCCTGGGTGACAAAGTAAGACCCTGCCTCAAAAAGGAAAAAAAAAAACCAAAATGATAAAGAATTGAAGATATATTTATTAGAAGGGAAAAATAATTACAGAAAAGGCTGAATGCAGGGTGGAAAACTGCATAATGTTAGAAATAATCAAATACTAGAGGGGTGTGGGGAGAAGAGGTCCTTACAGAAAGAAGAAAAGAAAAATTATTGCAATTTTCAAATCTACCCATCACAATAGTGGTACTCTGATTTGTCTAGACTTTTACAGTATACTCATATAGTAATTCCCTTAGAAGAGATAAAGCAGGCTATCTTTTTTCTTACTTTCCCGAAAAGGAAAAACATAAAATAAAAATGACCATGTTTGAAAATGACCACTTTATTTTATGGTAATTTTCTTTTAACCATCAAGGGTATGTGCAGGTATTAGAAAAACAAAAACATATAATACAGCAAAGACACCAAGCAAAGAGTCTATTCAGAGCAAAACTGAAGGCAGAAAAGTTATTTTATATATGCACCATTGAAAAACCTGCTTCTATCGTGAAGATTTAATGCTTTCCTGATTAAACTTTTGCTTATAATACTTTAATAAAGAGTGAGTTAATATACTTTATTCCTTCTTGGAAGTGACATGCATTATTTCCAATCAAAAGGGGCTAAAAACAGAATCGTAACAGGATTCAGTCTCAACCAAATAATGTAAGAAACAATATTTAAGCTTCTTGTATCTATAACAATTTCCAGTGTTCCTCAAATACTAAACTTTAAAGTTAAATGTCTTACCTGATCCAAGACAATGATTTCATCTGCATCAACCACTGTTGACAATCTGTGTGCAATGAAAATAGAAGTTCTGTGTTTGACCACATCCTTCATGGCACCAAGAATAGTCTGCAAGTTTGGTAATATGAAGAACAGGAGAAAATAAAAAGAAGTACACATTAGGCAAATGTAAATTAAAATAATCATACATTTCCTAAAGGAACATAAAAAATGCCAGTTTTTTTTTAGTATGTAACTTTATACTGATACCAAATATTAGACCTAATCTAATATCTGCTAAAAGGAAGAGGAGAAAGCAAAAAGAGAAGGCAACTATGATCACATTATCGTGGAAAAAAATTCTTAGGCAACATTTCTCCAAGTTACAAAATCTGGGAGAAAGTAGATATTTTCTATACAAGTACAAATAAACAACTCTTGTGATATCAGGAACATAGCCACATATAATGTTTACCAATGAGAACAAAACTAAAATGAGGAGAGACTTAAGTGACAGGACACAGAGAAATTCAAAATAATCCAGAGATAGGGAGATTCAAAGAGTATAGGAACATTTGCTTTTCCTTAGTTCAAACTCAGTGGACAGAAGGGGAAACAATGATAACTGTATATTTTTAACTGCAGAAACCTCTTTTTCAAAAGCATTCTGACTTCCTAACGCATCCGGGAAATACATTTTTGTTTATTCCCTGTAAAGTATAAGAGTTGTACATATATTCAGCTATACTTGGAAACCTGGGTCTAAGTACAGCAAGCTAGATGGAAATAGCAGTGTGGGGGATGGGGATATACCCAAATTTCCTACAGATATTTCTGAACATTTTATTTATTAAAGGAATAAAATTATCAAGAGCAGATGGTTACCCAGGAAAAGATCTTATTTTACTAGGGCAGACTGATAATAAGGTACAAGGCCAATACTAAGAAAGCCTGTTATGTTTGTGAGGACTCCTTTTTTAACCTTTAACAACTTAAACTCTGACATCCTACTGAAGACTCTGGACTTTTTAAAAAGGCCCATTAAAATTTACCACATCTTCTAATAACTCCTCCCCTTGGCGGGTTGTCTATTGGCTCTTAATGGGTTATGCTCTCTGACATAATAAAGCTGTGTGACTCAAATAATGACTGTTGGTAGGTCTTTTAGTTTGTGGTAGTATGACACATTTTTAGGTAAAAAGTTCTTATAAGCATGTTCCTATTTTTCCTGTGAATGGGGTCTGGTCCTGCTTATGGGTCACTTTAAATATATGCTAACCAATTCACTTCAAAATTAAATTGCTTTAAATATGCTGCAGATCAAACAATGGGCCCTGAAACTTAACTCCGTATGAAAATATTATGTCACACAGCCTGCAAAGCTGAATTAGGCCTATCCTTCAACACTAGCTTTATACTATGTATTGAATTAAAAGGTAGTTGAATGAAGGCAATTGACAAATGCATCTGCCTATCTTCAGTTCTAGATTAAGGGGATATGATAATGAAATTACCATTGTTGTTGAGACTTTTGTATGTAATGTAAAGATGTTGCTATAAAATCTAATGCAGCTGTGGGGCAATGTCATTGACATCAGTGTCACATCTTGGTGTTTCATAACACTTCCAGTGAAATGAATACAAATTGATACCAGCACTGCAGGTTGTGTGTGCCTGACTTGCATCTCATGAGTCGCTCCATGATAAGTGAAAGGCTTTCTGGTATGTACCATGTCACAGGTTTCACAATCACTTCCATGACTATTTTAATGAGTGTTAAGTGGCAATAGGAGAGAGACTAAAACTTTCTTCCTTTGTCAGCATATCAGGTGATTCCTACAGCTTTGTAAGATGCAAGGGCAATACAACAACAGCATAAGGTATCACATAGTTCCAAAAGGAGACACATTTGCAAATGGACTTAACACTGTGGTATCTCTAGTTCAATACAACCTGGTATTCTTACCATCAACACTTGCCATATGGAAAAAGGGGGATAGGCATTTTGCTCTATAGCACTTACTATTGAAGTTTATTCAAAATACAAAGTAATGCAGCCATTTTACTGAAACTTCCAAGTAGAAAAGTTAAACATTGAAGAGCTTTATATTTTAATCATAACTTACCTCTTCAGTAATCGAATCTAACGATGAAGTAGCTTCATCATAGAGTATGACTGGGGGGTCCTTCAAAATGGCTCTTGCAATTGCTACTCTTTGCTTTTCTCCTCCTGGTAAAGGAAAATTTTACTTTAAGGAAGCATAGTGCATGCATATTTTATGTTTTTAGTGTTTCCATTGATTACAACCACCAAGTAATACACTGAACATTTCCTTATTCTCCTGATCACAGTTCATTTTACTGAGTTGTAGAGTTGAAGTTCATATACAATATCTTTTGACAAATTATATTCCCTGAAACATGAATGCACTACTGAATTCTGACTTCATAGCAGGTGGGAAGAATGAGAATGAGGCAGTAAGGTAACAACTTTGATTCTACTATTATTCTTCTACCAGAAGCATGCTCATTATATGTTACTTTATATTACAGATAATTCTCAATGAACTGCAATCTCAGAAAAATTTCAATGACAGAATTGACAATGCCAAAAAAATCAATATCTGAAACCTGAAACTTGAAGACATTAAACTATGAATAACTGAATTCGTCTCTTAAGATAAAAAAGTAGCATTCAGCCAGTATTCTCAAGGATTGTTTTTTGATAGAAAGCTATTATTTTCACAGCATTCTTCAAAGTTAAAGGCATACACTAGATATCTTTTCCTTTATTCAGGTATTTATTATAGGTCTCTAGCATATCAAATTTTTAAAATAGAAAGGATATAGGCCCAGAAAAGTTAAGTGATTTGCTCAAGGTCACCGAGCAAGAATCTGGACTAGACCCATTTCAGTCCAATGCTCTTCTTATCACAATGTGTAAGCCCACATTTATTCCTAAATACAAGAATAAATATTTAGAAAGTATTTCTTAAATAAACAGTGAAAATATGTAGTGAAATGTATAGAAACCTTTATTACTGAGACTACTGTAGGTCTAAGGTCATCAATCTTATATAGAACTATAGTTGGAAGTACAGAAGATGGTACTCTGCTGACTATGTCCCTTTTGGCTTCTTTTCTTGTCTATTATACATTACCAATATCTGAAAAACATATTTTTCAGCTTATTAGGAAATAAGCTCTATCCATTACCTGGTACATTAAATATTTTTATTTTTACTTATTCTACAATTATTATCTTTGGCCTATAAAGGGGTTCCTTATTTTTAATATTAGTAAGTTTATATTTATGCTAGCCATACGCTTCCCCACCTCACAGGATCAAAATTCTCCTAACAAGGCAGGTACCATAAGTACTATCTTCCCGCCTACCTATCAGCCCAGTAGCAGAAAGTTCCTCAAAGAAGTAGATATTCAGAGGAAGGACTAGTTTTGAAGTGCCTCTCAAATTTCAAGTGGAAACCAACTCAGTTGTAATTCTATTCAACGGTATTTTGGAACTTGGAGAAGAAATGTCTGTTTATTCTCTAACATAATTATTAGCATAGATGATAAATAATAAATTGCTCATTTTGAGAGGTTTGGTTATAAGGAAATGAGAAATAGGTAAGAATAAAATTTCTTTAGCTATTCCTATCCCTCAAAGGCATGCAGAAAGGAAAAATAAGATTAGAAAATGGAACACAGCATAGCTGGCTGAGGCAAAGTCATGCATTAAGAGGGCTAGTTCATATTACGTGATAAATTAGGGATCGCCAGAATTAGCCAAACGGACACATAATTTGGGGGTGGGCCAGATAACTGGAAATTACTCCTATTAAAAGCAGTAATAAAGTGTAAATGTGGACTGGAATGATACTGGCATCTTATACTACCAGGTAATGACCCAATCAACTTAACTTGGAAATAATCTTTGCTTAAAATTTTCTAAACCTAGCCCAAAACTTTCTAACAGATTGCCAATTCCTGAATAACAGGCCTGTTTATGCTTCATTTTTTTAACTTTCAAATCATTTAGCATAGTAGCTTGCACATAGTGTGTATCTAATAAATGAAGCCAGTTTATAATGAAGAGGAATGTGGATTCGTTAAAATTCATATAGAGTATTTCTCATTCTATTTTTGCCTTACCTCTATCTATAATCGATACATTTCCTGCCCAAACTAAACTAGACATTGCTATACTTTTGAATTCAAATAATTTGGGGGTAAAGAAACATTTTTCTGTGTCCTCCAAAAAAAAAATCAGTCATTTTAGGGTAATTCATTCTTAAACCTAGCAATCTCATAATTAAACATTTAACAAGAAATGTATAAGCCTCAAAATATCCTTGGCCACAGAACAAAGGACATGAAAATGAATCTGGCTGTAAGGAAAGTATAGCAGTTAACAGGATCAAATATAAAGAGGTCTCAAGTACTGAAAACATCTTCTAATGATCTAGGAAGTTATGATGAGAGATATACACTATTCGTTATCAAATTACTTCTCCCTAACCTTACTACTTTCCCAGGTAAAGAACGATCTTGTTTTTCCTTTATCATGAAGATTGTAGATAACAAGTTAGTAATGATCTGAGCATATTTTGATAACTTACTTAATATCAAACACCTACAGTGTTTGCAGCTGCAAGTGAAAAAAAAAAGACTTGCATGACTTGAGAATAGTTACTAATATGTTGAATTGGTTATAGTGAGGGCTAGGAGATTAGTAACCCAATCAAATGTGACTCAACGAGCACTACATTTGAAGTCTCTCATTACATTTTCTAAAAAATGGCTCTGACAAATTAGAGTTTGAAAGAAGTATACAAGAAGGGGGCAGGTCTAAAATCTCTGATCACCTGAAAGCTTGAGTCCTCGTTCCCCTACTTGGGTGTCATATCCATGTGGCATTCGAAGAATTGCATCATGAAGTCCAGCTAATTTTGCCACTGCATACACTTCCTCAGGTGAAGCACTGATGTTTCCATATAAGAGGTTGTAATAAATAGTATTATGGAAGAGGACAGCATCCTGAAGCAGATATACTGAATGAATATATATCTATATCTATATATCTCTCTCTATTTATGTTCATTATTAAAAATTCAAATAGTAAAGAGACAAAGGCATAAAGGGTAAAACATGACAGTCCCTTTCATCATCCCTCATCTGCAAAATCCCATTCCCTTCCCAGGGGTAGTCATCATAAACAATTTAGTGTGCATCATTCCAGACTTCTTCCTGTGAATTTATATACCTAAACATATGTTTCTTTCCCCTAACACAAGTATGGTCATTCTACACATATTATTTTGCAATTGCTTTTTTCAGTTAACATATCATAGAGATTGTCCATGTCAATAACAGAAAACTAACTCATTCTTTTTAACAGTTGTATATTCCATACTATGGAAATGTCATAATTTATTTATACATTCTCCTACTGATGGACATTAATGTGATTTCCAAGTTTATGCTACTACAATGTTGGAATAAAACATTATGTATATGACTTTGTACAACTGTGTGTTTCTGTAAGAATTCCTAGAAGTAGACTGATGAGTTTAAAGGTAAGCATACTTTTATCCTTTGATATTATTGCCCAAATGTCTTCTAAATATGGCCCTACCAGCAACCAATAATGTATAAGTACACGCTAACCAATAGCATATGAGGGTGCCAGTTCCTCATATACTCAGAAACCCTGGATATTAATAATTTTTAGGTGTTGCTATTCTTAGGGGAAAAATGTGTTTTTTGTTTAAATTAGCATTTCCCTAATTACTAACGAGGTTTGAATATGTTTTCCTATGTTTCTAAGAAGCTTTGACATTGATATTAAAACAGAAAACAAATAATTTATGCAATATATATATTTTTGGAGAAAGTTCACTTCAAGCATTCATTTGATATTTCAACTTATTCTCACATGGCACACTAAAGCTAATTTACTTCAAGTGAGCATCCATCTCCCATTTTTCTTTCAATCTCTAAACGGTTGGAAGGCTATGGTTAGGTGAAATAAAATGACTCCATTTGTTCACATTAACCAGGATACCCATCTTCTTTAACATCATAATCAGACCAAAAATTTCATATATTGCTTTAAATAGTATTTAAATCATTTATATACCTATTAATAAAATTTCTCATATTGAGACAATACTTAAACTCAATAAGCTCATTGTATAAACAGAAACTGCTTATTTTAAAATAATTTATATTTAGGAAAAAGCTAAATGTGCTAGATGGAAATTTTGAAAATATAAAAACTAATATAAAATAAATACTGATTTTTTTGGTGTAATTTCTGCTAAATGGGTAGATTTTAGCTGCTCTAGTCACAAAAACATGGGTAACTGTGAGATGATGGACATGTTAATTTGCTTCTCTACAGTAATATAATTATCTATATGTATCTCATAACATCATGTTAGATACCTTAAATATATACAATAATGTTTAATAAATTAAACTTTAAATAATCCATATTCCCATCATGTAGCAAGATCTAATATTACATTGATATTTTCTATCTTTTTTCTCTACTGCAATGTATTCATTTAATATAATAAAATCAGGATATTATATTTTGCTTGCTATCCTCCTTTTTAATACTTTGTATTTGCATATTTTTCATGACAATATTCTTTAAAAACACAATATTTATGAATGGCTGCATGACTCTGATCCTATAACACTGTAACCATCTACTTACTGTTGGACATTTACATTGTTTCCAACTGATGCTACTATAAATAATGCTGTAATGAACATATTTGCATATAAAGACTTGTTCACATCTCTGTTTATTTCCTTACTAAAATTTCCTAGAAGCAGAATTATTGGAATAAAGGGTATGAATATTTTTCAGGAACTTGATACACACTGCCAATTTGCTTGTCAGGAAAGCTGTATACTTCCACCAGCAAAACAAGAGACTGTCCATTTTACACAGCCTTGCCCAAACTGGATATTAGGAATTTCAAAATCCTTACCAATCTGATAGGTGAAAAAATGACACGTATCCTGTTGTTGATTTAATTTATATTGCTAAGGCCTCCAATGAGGATGAGAGTCTTTCGTTTACTGATGATGTATATTTTCCCTTTGTGAATGTGTTACTTCCCAAAAGGATGAGGATAATTGTTACAATGCCCAAAAGAATGGCAGGAATCTATTTACATGGATGAGGACACTGAATCCTAAGTAGTCACAGCTCAGAATCCAGTTCACTTGACACACAGTTTAGATTAGTGTTTCTTTTTCCTTTTTTTTTCTTTTTTATTTTTGAGACTGAGTCTAGCTCTGTTGCCTAGGCTGGAGTGCAATGGCGCGATCTCGGCTCACTGCAACCTCCGCCTCCTGGGTTCAAGCAATTCTCCTGCCTCAGCTTCCCAAGTAGCTAGGATTACAGACACCTGCCACCATGCTCAGCTAATTTTTCTATTTTTACTAGAGACGGGGTTTCATCATGCTGGCCAGGCTGGTCTCAAACTCCCGACCTTAGGCGATCTGCCTGCCTTGGCCTCCCAAAGTGCTGGGATTACAGGTGTGAGCCACTGTGCCCAGCCTAGATTAGTGTTACTTAACATACAATCTATGAACCATCTATATCAGAATAACCTAGGAGGCATTTTCAAAAAGGCAGTTTTCTGGGCCCACATAGTCCTCCAAAATCGTAACTGGGGTATGTGAGAAAGAACTGGAATTATTAAATTAGATTATCTAATCCAATTTAAATGATACGATTTATTTTTTAAATTTATAAATGGTATTGTATATATTTAAGGTATAGAACATGATGTTATGAGATACATATAGATAGTAAAATGATTACTATAGTGAACAAATTAACATATCCATCATCTCACACAGTTACCCAATAATTTCTCTAAATGACTCATCCTGACTAACATGTGGGATTTTCAGTGAAAAAGAGGACAGGGGAGAGTCCATGTGTGCGATCATTTAGGGGACATTTTGCAAGCTACATATCCCCATCCAATCACTCTCTTACAGTTCTTCCTCTCCCCATATTTTGATCCATTCTCCCAGGGATTTGATTCTGGCTCCAGAAATCAACTTTATAATACATACTAGCTGCAACTAATTCCCAGGTCTCTCTATAAGCTTTCATCATAAAAAAGCTCACATCCTATAAGGCTATCTACTTCTTAACTTCTCAGACCTTACTTTGAATTTATTTTCCCTCCAAAGTAACACAGTAAGTGTTTATTAAATGTTTAACATGGGTTCGGCACTGTGTTTCGTACTGAGGGCAGAGTGGTTAACAAGGCATACAAAATTGAGGATGGCAGACAAGCTACTTTGTAATTATTATAAATCTACTATGTTGAAAACTGCTCCAAATTACAATAGTAGTTTCCGTTTTCTGAACAATTATGTGATAGACTCGGTATTTTATATTTATTATCTCTAATCCACAATAATTCTATCCTATAAGATAAATGGCATCCTTATTTTACAGATAAGAAAATGGAGGCCCCAGGCCACACAACTAATGACAATTAGAGATGGGGTTAGAATCCAGGTCTGTGTTCTTTGTATTCTATTATGCTATCATTCCAGGGCTTCCTATCATGCAGATTTTTCCTTCAAGTTTTTTCTTTTCCTTTTTTAAAAAATCCCTTTTGATACCAGAATTTCACTGGTAGGGTCTAATACTGACTACTTCAGTAGCATATGTTGATCCCTTGATTCAAACTGTTCTAGTTACGGATTGATCAACCCAATAAATCCTCCAAAAATTTGTTTTTTTCTGTTTTTAAATACCTGAGGTACCACTCCCACTGCCCTCCGAAGGCTTTCCAGGCTCACATCTTGTATATTTTGACCAGCAAGATAAATGCTACCCTTTTGAGGCTCATAGAAGCGAAATAATAGCCTCACTATTGTGCTTTTCCTGAAATTGGAGATGAAGAAAGGTTATTTAGCTCCTATTAATGTTAGGAAACCCCAGTTTTAAACCACAGTAATCATTTTGATAAAGAAAGAAATATTACATTGGGAATCATCAGCCTATAATACAGAATTTTACAAATAACTAAATTACCCACCCTGACCCACTACCTCCTACAATGGCCACTTTCTTTCCTGCAGGGACTTCAAAGGATATTCCACTAAGGACTTTCTGGCCCTCAATGTATTCAAAATGCACATTATCAAAGGCCACGGTAGCTGTCTGTGGTGTGATCTGAAGGGGAGATGCCATCACTTTGTCCTAGCAGGGAAGAGAAAAAAAAAGCCACTTTACGCACTGCCTAGAGTACAGCTACGAAGACAATTTTCTAATTCACAGAAAGAAAAAGGATATAATGGAAAAGAAGGAGGTTTATAAGTGGACTTAGACCACTTCCAAGCATGCATTTAAAGATTTGTTTTCTCACGCTTCATGGCTAAGGTAAAACAAACCCTGAATGTTTTGGTTTCTGAGCAACTTTTTTTTGAGGTGGGGTTGGGGAGGGAGAAGGGATAATGGGCAGGGGAGGAAAGGGGCTGAGGATGCAAGGAGAGGCAATCATATATTCCATGTCATTATTAGATAAGTAAATTCAGTGTAAGTACAAATAATTCAACTTAACAAAATTTACTTTCTAGTATAATAGTCTTCATTAACATTGTAAGATTTTATTTATTTATTTATTTATTTATTTATTTTGAGACGGAGTTCGCCCTTGTTGCTCAGGCTGGAGTGCAATGGCAGGATCTCGGCTCACCACAACCTCCACCTCCCAGGTTCAAGCGATTCTCCTGACTCAGCCTCCCGAGTAGCTGGGATTACAGGCATGTGCCATCACGCCCAGCTAATTTTGTATTTTTAGTAGAGACAGGGTTTCTTCATGTTGGTCAGGCTGGTCTCGAACTCTTGATCTCAGGTGATCCACCCGCCTCAGCCTCCCAAAATGCTGGGATTACAGGAGTGAGCCACCATGCGTGGCCAGGTTTTTAAACACAGAAGTGAAAGCTCTAACAACCTCTTAATACAGGTGATAGCACCCCCACCCCTGACAATTCCTGCAAGTAAAATAAATTGGTTTGCTAATGTGGTGATGTAGGAATATTCCTAGAATAATCCTACTAATAGGATGATGTTCACATACTTTTGAAAAGGTACTATATAGATTACTTACTTTAATTTGGGTGTCTACCTTGAGTAGAGTAAACAAGGTGTTCATATCTATGAGTGCTTGTCTAGTCTCTCTATATACAGTTCCCAGAAAGTTCAGGGGTAATGAAAGCTGAAAAAGCAGTCCATTCACCATTACTAGATCTCCAACAGTAAGGGTACCTTAAAAGGCAGAAGAAAAAAAGGGTATTTTAGATAAATGTTACATACTTTTCCAATTTACGATAGGTTTATAGTCTATTACGACGGAACAAAATATTCTTAATCAGCAACAACTCTTATGTCAACTCAATTTCAAAGCATTAATCCACGATTTAGGTAATACAGGGAACTTAGTATACGTTAGGAATGGGAAAGACCCACCTATACACTATATATAATATATAAAAAAGAATGGTTTAAGTGAGGATAGAAATTGAAGGCTAAAAATTTTCTGTTTTTTTCCCTAAGACACTAGCAATGGTTTCTTTGTAGTGTAAAACAGGAATTTAAAAATTAGTATACATTAAAAATTGGAGAAAATAGATATCACGATTAAGGATGATAAACCATTCTGATGTACATCAAGTTGAAGGAAACAAAATGAAACAACAACAACAACAACAAAATGTTGTTGTGACCTAAATATGTTTTCCACAGATTTTCCACATATTTAGGTCACAGTGAATGAATGAATACTAACTGAGTGGGGGTGGGGAGGGTTTCCAGAAAGGAGGGACAGACATTTACTTTTGAAGTGTTTTGCAACTAAAAAAAGGAGGAGAAAGATTAAAAGGTTCCTGGTAATTCTTAAAAAAAAGAGTGCAGTTTAGTGCTTTGAACTAAACACTAAATCAATTACATTGCTTTACAGGTCTGCAAGAGAAATTAGAAAAGCTAGATACTAAAAAAAAAAGTTGTTCTTAAAAGAACAGGTAGTTCCAAACAGTAATCCCAATCAGTGAGTGAGGCAGTGCTAAACAAAAGGAAGTTAAAAAACCATTATCAAACCATCAAGTAAATACATTCTGATACAGAGAAAAGTACTCCAAGGATGTGAAAGCACTTTAACATCCTTTATAATTAAGATAAGCATGCACATTCCTTTCATTAATCTTTATTTATAAAAGTTGAACAGCCTGTAAATGTGATAGCCACAGACTCATTACCTGCCACAATTCCCTGACTGGCGAGCACCATTATAGCTGTTAAACCGACACTGAAAATAGCACTTTGACCAAAGTTCAGCATAGCCAGAGTAGAGGTACTTTTCAATGAAGCAGTCTCATACGTCTTCAAAAATCCATCATATCTCTGTGCTTCATATCTTTCATTATTAAAATACTACAAAATATATAAAAATAACTATAGGCAAGTATAATTAGAATTTATTCTCTTAAGTGATTAGTATACTTTTCATCAGACTTCATGTATGAATACAATTTTGTACTGTAGATTCCATTTTAAAAATTGACTCAATATATTGGACTATGATATCCCTGCAGTTTTCCATAATGAATTGTATTTGAAAAGTCCACAAAATTCACCCAACGAATATTTACTGAATGCTTATCTAATTGCAACCCGACCTAAAACAAAATCTTCAATGACACTTCCTTCACAAAGCCTTCCCCTGAGACTCTGAATTGACAATTCCCACTACCCTCACAACATTATGCCTTCTTATTTAGTCACCTGCATACTTAAATTCTCTCGGTACAGTATAAAATTCTGGGATAGCAGGGATCAGAAAGTAATCTTTTTTTACCACCCTCCCCTGTGAAAGCACTTAGAACACATAAGAGGCATTCAGTAACTATTTGTTAAATGGAAATATGAACAAATAAATGAAAGAATTAATGAGAAGCACTATGCTAGGCACTCTGAGGGATAGAAGAGAGTCAAGAATTTATATGCCAGTTTGATTAGCTTACTGTTCATTCTGAATCAAGATGCTAACGGTACACAGTCATGCATCACTTAACAAAAGAGATATGTTCTGAGAAATGCATACTTTAGGTAATTTTGACTGTGCAATCATCATAGAGTGTACTTACACAAACCTAGATGGTATAGTCTACCACTCACCTAGACTATATGGTATAGCCTATTGCTCCTAGGCTATAAACCTGTATAGCACGTTACTATATTGAATATTGTAGAAAATTGTAACACAATGGTATTTGTGTATCTAAACACAGAAAAGGTACAGTAAAAATATAGTAAAGAAGATTTGCAGTGGTATATCTGTATAGAGCACTTATCAGCAATGGATCCTGCAGGACTGAAAATGGCTCTAGGTGAGTCAGTGAGTGAGTGGTGAGTGAATATGAAGGCCTCGGGCATTACCGTACACTACTGTAGACTTTATAAACACTGTATGCTCAGGCTACACTAAATTTATTTAATATTTTCTTTCTTCAATAACACATTAAAATTAGCTTACTGTAACTTTTTTACTTTACAAACTTAAATTTTTAAAAACTTTTTTACTCTGTAATAACTTGGCTTAAAACACACATTGTACAGCTGTATAAAAATATTTTCTTTCTTCATATCCTTATTCTATAGGCTATTTTCTATTTAATTTTTTTTTTTTTTACTTTTTAAACTTTTTTGTTAAAAACTAAGACACAATCACACACATTAGCCTAGACCTACATAGGATCAGGGTCAAATATCACTGTCTTCTACCTCCACATCTCGTTTTACTGGAAGGTCTTCAGGGGCAATAACATGCATGGAGCTGTTATCTCCCATGACAACAATGCCTTCTTCTGGAATACCTCCTGAAGGACTTACCTGAGTCTATTTTACAGTTAACTTTGTTTTTAGAAGTAGAAGGCGTACACTCTAAAATAATGATTAAACGTGTAAAAATACATATACTAGTTAACATACTAGTTTATCATTATCAAATATTAAATGATGGGTCGCGCAGCTGGTTTGTTTCCACCAGCATTACCAGAAACACATGAGTAATAGAGTAATGAATTGTGCTACAACATTACAATGGCTACAATGTCACTTGCTGACAGGAACTTTTCAGTTCCATTATTATCTTATGGGACCAACATCATAGATGCCAAAACATCATTATACAGTGCATGACTGTATTTATGATCACTTATAAATTAATTCAGAAGGTAAAAATCTGATAGTGCCAAACAAAAACTGAGAAGGAAAGAGGATAGTTTCTAAAGACAAACAATAAAATAGTATTATTCCATCACGCCTAGAGATCATATCCTAACCTGAAGCTCTAATTTACAGTACCTATTAAATTAAATGGTAGATCAAATCTTAGTGCAGTGTGAAAGGCAGAGGAAAGTATAATTAAACATATTACCTTCACAGTTTCATAATTCAGCAGTGAGTCTATAGCAGCATTACCTGCATCATTATCTGCTTTGTTCATTTCTATTCTAAATCTAGTTCTGTAAGACAAAGATTTGCATAGGCATGAAATACATGTTATAAAAGCAAAACAATTTCTAAATTTTATGTGGCTTCTAGGGAATAAATTACCTCCACCGTGTGACTGCAACTGTGAATGCTGTGTATGTACCAAGTGTTCCAAGGGTTACCAAAGCAAACTGGGCACCGCATTTGTAATACTAGAAAAGGAAGTCCAAAGAAGAAACGTGAAACAGTTATTGTTCTTCCCAAACAGTTTGTAATACACAACAGCAAATCTCGGTCAAAAGATTTTAACAAAAATATGGTGGCGTGAAGTTATGTACGTGAATGATGGGTGAAAAATCAAATACTTTAGAAAATCTACTTTAGGCAACAAGGGAAGAAAGTCAAACTGCACTTGCTACATCAGTAGTACCATCAAATACTAATAGGAAGATAGTACAAAAAGCCTAAAGAGGAATAAAAAATATATACATATATTTTTAACTATAAAAGGTGAAATTGCTAATCATTAGAGAAATGCAAATCAAAACCACAATGAGATATCATCTCAGATGAGTCAGAATGGCTATTATTAAAAAGTCAAAAAATAACAGATGTTGTCAAGGTTGCAGAGAAAAGGGAACACTTATACACTGCTGGTGGGAATGGAAATTAGTTCAGCCACTGTAAGCAGTTTGGAGATTTCTCAAAGAACTTAAAACAGAATTACCATTTGATCCAGCAATCCCATTACTGGGTGTATATATATTCAAAAGAACATAAATCATTCTGCCATAAAGACATACAAATGCGTATGTTCATTGCAGCACTATTCACAATAGCAAACACATGGATGCCAATCAATGGTGGACTAAATAAAGAAAATGTGGCCCATGTACATCATGGAATACTATGCAGCCATGAAAAACAAAATCATGTCCTTTGCAGCAACATGGATGCATCTGGAGACCATTATCTTAAGTGAATTAACTCAGGAACAGAAAACCAAAATACCACATGTTCTCACTTATAAGTGGGAGCTAAACAATGAGTACACACAGACACAATGAGGGGAATGGACACTGGGGCCTATTGAGGGTGGAGGGTGGCAGATGAGTGAAGGCAAAAAACTACCTATTAGGTACTATGCTCACTACCTGGTGATGAAATAATTTGTACACCACACCCCAGTGACACATAATTTACCCATGTAACAAACTTGCACAGGTACCCCCTGAAGCTAAAAGTTGAAACAGAGAAAAAAAAATAAAAGGTGAAATTGCCTAAAATGTTATGAATGGTGATGAGAAACCTAGATATTCTGAGCATATTAGTCCAATGTCATATACAAAAATCTCTGCTTTAAAAAAACCTTGTAAGTACTAGTTGATGACTAATCTATGTGTAGAATTGAACAGTTATTTACAATAACAACACGATAAAGAATTTGAGCAGTCCATTGAAGCTTGTGGCAAAATAATTAAACTGCATAATATTTCTGGCATCATGGAATTTTGCTTTCAAGCCCATGGGCATGCAACAGTACAACAGCTTCAAATATTCAATTGCTACTAATGAGAATTTAAGATAAAAGCTTGTTATGAAAAATGTTTAACTTACCAAAACACCACTGACAAGCATCACTTCAAACATGATGGGAAGAAGATTAAATACCAAAGCACTCAGGACAAAACTGATACCCCTTGTTCCTCTGTCAATAGCCTTAGATAAAGCTCCCGTCTGTCTGCTCAGGTGAAAACCCAGATCCAGGTTGTGAAGATGGAGAAAGACATTTTTGGCTATTCTTCGGATTGAATTCTGGGCTACCTTGCCAAATACTGCATTTCGAACTTCGTTAAAAAAAGCAGCTCCAGCTCTTGATACACCATCTAACAATACATTCAAAAGAAAAAATAGGATGTAACAATATTAGAATCAAAGGAGTATAGAAATGACAAGGGCTCAGAAAATGTTTGTACAATGAGTAATTCAGTGAATGAATATATCACAGAATATTTACAATAAAAGAAACCTAGAAATAATCTAGCCTAATGAGTATTAACTTTTCCACCACTATGAATCCCTTCAGTGTTATTTCCTCCAGGTTTCAGACATTAAAAGATATTTTTTCCAAATAAAATACTTAAATAATAGCCCACATGGCATTACTGTGGATAAATGTGCAGTGTCTGTTGAGGTTTTTTTTATCTAATTTAATCTTCCTAAATAACAAGTGATAAAATTGAGACCCTGAAGAATCAAGTGCCTTGACTAAAGGCATACCCCTACTAATGTCTCCCAAATCTCATAGTGTCCTTTCTAATGCATGGGACACACAGCATTCATATTCTGTTCTTTTCAAATTGTAGATTTGTGTCATTACTAATGAATATATTTTAATAAAGCATTTATGTACATATATATTTTTATTTAGCTATTTCCTATTTAATAGCTAACAATGCCAGCAAGAAAATAATTGACCTTTGTGGAAATGGATGTTACAAAAAGCCTAACTATTAGAAGTGGTTGTTATGAATTTAATGTCTTATTTTATATTATTGTTTTCTAGAACTTGTAAAAATGCTACTGTTATCATGGAATTTTTTGAAAGTGTATCATACAGAATAGTTTTTAAAAACACATACAAAACATCTCACATAAAACAACAAACATCCAAAACGCTAAGTTGTGTTTGTAGTGAAAAGGTCATCTGCTCAAATATGATGAAACCTCCTTGAAGAAAGTCAACACCTGTAGACAGATTAAAGAATCACACATACAGCCAATCAGAACTGCTGTTGCCATGGTTGCAACTGTATTTGGTGCATCACTCAGGTTCAGCATGTTTCCCGACATCTGGTTGAGGCTGTCTACAGCATATTTAAACATGAAGGGAACCACAATATTCATGGCCTAAAAACATAAAAACATCAATTACCCATTATACACAAAATACTTATTTATAAAAGTACAAATATTTACCTTAAATTAGTACTTATGGTAATGTTTACATATTTACCACTTACTGGTATTAGAGTGATTTTCCCCATTCATAAAGACAACATCTTTGACATTGGGAGAGCTGTCATTTCAGGCTTCATACTTCACACTGCCATGTTAATATTCATTTATAAGCTATGTGAATTAGTCAAATGCTTCTGCTTCCATGAAATCATCCCAGATCTGCCACTCAAAAATGCTGTCTCCATTATCTAAAATCCTACAAAGCTCATGACACTATGGCAAACTGTCTTACACTGTAGTTATTTGTGTATATATTTCCCTTTCCTACTGGATCCTTGAGGGTCTGTGTCATTTTACTTTTTGTCCCACCCATGCTGAATATAATGCTCTTATACAGTAGGCATTCAATAAATATTTTTAAAATAATTTGGTCATCAAAATAATGGTAAACTAAATTACACAGCAAGCCAGATCACAAAAGCAGATGAATTACAAGTATATGTTGGCTGATTCACCATTTGAAAAAACATTGATAAATCCATTTGTCCTACAGAAAGCTTCTTTGCCCCAATACCACATAAAACAAAGCCCAATTATTATCAAAACTAAGCTTTCAATAATGAACCTATTTCTCCATGAGAATACATCAAAATAAAACTTAAAAAGAAAATTAGAAGCATGATGTTTTCATATATTCAAGGCAAATGTTTCATCATTCACATTCTATATTTTCTGCAGTTATAGTATCCAAAACATCAACCATCATTTAGGAACAGAAAGTTTGTCAGACTCCCAAAGTTTCTTTGAAGAAATTAAATTGATGCACATTAATAACATGTGAAAACAATTTTATAAGCCTTAATAAAAACACTGAAATCCCAGATCTTGTTAATGCTCCATTATTATGCCATCTATCTTTGCAAAGTTTAGCTATAACTGATAGAAGCTATGTAACTCTTATCAAGATTCCAAGGTAACGTATACAAGAGTCTTACCAACCAAGCAGGCATTCTAGTATTCGACAATATCATTAAAATACACAGCACATGTTGGGATGCTTTTAAGAATGTAACATGAGATAAAGTGCTTAAACATTAAGCTTTCTGACTTCCAAAATCTAATAGAATATATGGCAGGTCTCAAATAGCATAAATTTCTCAAATCTGATTCCCCTGTAGCCATATAACCTTAGGTTCTTGCTTCTTCTTTGCTTTTTTTTTTTTTTTGAGATGGAGTCTCACTCTGTCACCCAGGCTGGAGTGCAGTGGGGAAATCTCGGCTCACTGCAAACTCCGCCTCCTGGGTTCAAGCGATTCTTCTGCCTCAGCCACCTGAGTAGCTGAGATTACAGGCATGCACCACCACACCCAGCTAATTTTTGTATTTTTAGTAGAGACAGGGTTTCACCATGTTGGTCAGGTTGGTCTCAAACTCCTGACCTTGTGATCCGCCCGCCTCGGCCTCCCAAAGTGCTGAGATTACAGGTCTTGCTTCTTCTTGAAATGGTCTCCTCTCCCCTATCTACCTCGTCACTCTTCAAAGCCCAATTTTAATCCCATTTCTACCATAATGCCTTCTCTGAAACATGCAGCCAATTTGGCACTCTCCATTTTCTATCTTTTTGTTATAGTTTATACCTCAATATTTATCACTTTTATGATATATTTCTGATTCATTTTGTATGTATATATGCATGGATATATTTCCATCCTTTTTGCATAAATTTGAGGGGTACAAGTGCAGTCCTGTTACATGGATATATCGCATACTGGTGAGGTCTGGGATTTTAGTGTATCTATCACCCAAATAATGTACAAACCTTTTGTGACAAAACTGACATTTACTGAACAACAGCTAGATGAATCAGGTATGGTGAAAGGTAGGTACCTTTCACAAATGTGAGGGATGAAAGGAATAAAAATTTTACAAAATAGATTTTATCTGTATAGTTGAGGAACCTCAGGTTCCACAAGGTTTAATGACTTGTCTGGTAAGCAGCAGAGCTGAGATTAAAATACAGGTCTGACACTTGAAGTTAGAATTTTTTCTAGTATACCATAGCCACATTAGCAGCTTATAAGGCAGGGACAATATATTTCACTTATTTTGCACCCTAAAATGGATGCTCTCAAATGCACTGTTTAAACCAGCTATAGCTGTAAAGTATATCAAAAGTAATTTAAATAAATTTGAGCAGATTCCAGGTTTTCCATTTAAGGATACAGTCCCTCACCTGCAATCCAATACACTTTCTTCAGTAGGAGAAAAAGTGATAGTTACAGCTAGCATGCAATTCTCATAACTCACAGCCCATTATACCTTTTCCAAAGCTGTAGTGAATGACGCCTAAAACTAATGTATCACCAATAAAGTTGTGCAATTTTACTTCCTTGAAAATGTTTTTGGATTTGGTCAAACTAGAGAACATCCTTGTAAGTGTTCAGGACGTGTGAGTGTCATCTGCATTGTGTTGTTAGTGGCAGAAAAAGGGCAGTTAGCACATGCAAAGAGTATGGCGCTACCTCTAATAATAACTGAATACTGTCAGTTTTCCCATAAAAATTATTTTAAAAAGGTAAGAAATATGCCATATATGTTAAAAACGAAAGAAATACACCAAAGAAATAAGAAGGATACTACATGTAGATGTTTTTATTAACATGTAGTGTTAAGTTTTATTTGCTTTGTGATATTTTGGGGATGGGACTAGCAAATAGTGGTTTTCCCCAATATCCTGCCTTTAGCAGAACTAGATTTAAACCATTCCAGGCAAATGAGAATCTTTAAAAAAAAATAACTTTTTTATTTTGAAATAATGAGACTCATAGCTGCAAAACAGTACGTAGTACAAAGAGACCCACGTACCCTTCACCCAGCATCTCCTAATGACATTTTATTTCACTGTAGTTCAGTATCAAAACCAGAAAGTTAACATCGGCACATTACCGTTAACTACTGGACTAGAGAACTCATTCAGTTTTCACCAACTTTTAGCTTGTATTCATGTGTATCTGTGTGTAGTACGTATGTGTCTGTCCGTGTGGTTCTATGCAATTTTACCGCACGTTCAGATCTGTAACCAGCACCACAATCAACATACAAAACTATTCCATCACCACAAGAGAAATCCATTATGCCACCACTTTGTATTCACCCCCGTTCTACCTGCCTCACCCCAGTCCCTTTACCCTGGCAACTACTAATTAATTTGCTCTTGATCTCTACAGTTTACTCATCTTGAGAATATTCTAGAAATGGAATCATATATAACCTTTTAGGATCAGCTTTTGTTTTATTCAGCATAACGTGCTCAAAGTTTATCAAGACTGTTGCATGTATCGATAGCTCATCATTTGCTATTGCTAAGGATTATTCCATTGATGTACTAGAATTTATTCAACCAGTCACCCCGAAGGACATTTTGGTTGTTTCCAGCTTTAGGCTACTATCAGTAAAGATGTTATCAACATTCTCATACAGATGGATATAAGTTTCCATTCATCTGGGAAAAGACCCAAGAGTCCAATTGCTAAGTCATATGGCATCTCTATGCTGACCTTACTAAGAAACTGCCACACTCTTTCTAGAGTTGCTGTATCATTCTATTTTATATCTTTGAGACAGAGTCTCACTCTGTTGCCCAGGAAGGAGTGCAGTGGCATGATCTCGGCTCAGTGCAACCTCCACCTCCCGGGTTCAAGCGATTCTCCTGCCTTCGCCTCTTGAGTAGCTGGGACTACAATTGCACGCCACCAGGCCCAGCTAATTTTTCTATTTTTGGTAGACACGGGGTTTCACCATGTTGGCCAGGCTGGTCTCAAACTCCTGGGCTCAAGTGATCTCCTGCCTCGGCCTCCCAAAGTGCTGGGATTACAGGTGTGAGCCACCACGCCTGGCCTGCTGTATCATTTTACAATAACCAGCAAAGTATGAGTGACCCAGTTCTTCTGCATCCTCACAAACATTTGGTATTATCATTTTTTTAAATTTCAAAACTGTTCCAATAGGTGCATATTGATACCTCACTGATGTTGAGCACTTTTTAATGTGCTTATTTGCAATCTATATCGTCTCTTTGGTGAAATATCTGTTCATGTCTTTTATGCATTTTATAATTGGATTGTTTGTTTTTCTGCTGTTGAGTTTTAAGAGTTCTTTATATATTCTAAGAATAAGGCCTTTGTTGGATATGTGGTTTGCAAATATTTTCGCCCAGTCTACTGCCTTTTATTCTACTCAGGAGTCTAACTTCTCACTCCATTCAGCAGTAATGAGGAATCTCTTCTGCCAGGAGCCAATAGAGGCCCAAGTAGGAACCTGGATTCTCATCTCCACCCACAGTAATGAGGCAGCACCCCTGCTCCACTGAAGTGGTGACACAGGAGGCCTGCTAAACAGAAGATTTACATAAGATTCAGAGTCTAATAATACTCTACATGTCCAGGTTTCAATTTAAAAAATCATATCAAGAACCAATAAGATAAGATATCAATTTGAATAAGACAATACAATTAATAGACACTAACATCAGGATGACACAAACATTACACCTATCTGAAAGATTTCGGAGTAGCCATCATAAAAGTGCTTCCAGGAATATTTATGAACATGCTTGAAATAAGTGAAAAAATAGAAGACTCAGGAAATAAATAAAGGATATAAAGAACCAAATGAAAAATACAGAACTGAAAAATATAATAACTGACATATAAAAACTCAAGGGATGGGCTCCATGGCAAAATGGAGAAGACAGAGGCAAGTATTATTGAACTTGAAGATAGAACAATAATTAGGAATACAATGCTTTCATATATTCAAGGCAAATGTTTAATCATTCACATTCTGCATTTTCTGCAATTATAGTATGAAAAACATCAACCATCTCTTAGGAACAGGAAGTTTGTCAGACTGCCAAAGTTTTTCTGAAGAAATTAAATTGATGCACATTAATAATATGTGAAAACAATTCTATCAGGCTTAATAAAAACACTGAAATCCCAGCGCTTGTTAATGTTCCATTACTATGCCATCCATCTTTGTTAAGTTTAGCTACAACTGATAGAAGCTATATAAATCTTACCAATCAAGATGTCAAGGTAAGGTATACAAGAGTCTTAGCAACCAAGCAGATGTTCTAGTAGTCAACAATATCATTAAAATACACAGCAGATGTTGGGATGCTACCTAAGCTTAACAACAGGGAGAAAATAGACTAAAGAAAAAAAAAAGCCAACAGAGTCTCAGGGACCTATGGAGCTGTAACAAAACACTTACCATCCTTTATTGAGTCCCAGAAGGATAGCAGAAGAGTGTGGGGCACAAAAAAGTACCAACGAAATAATGGCTGAAATTTTCCCAAATTCGGCAAAAGACATAAACCTATAATTTCAAGAAGCTGAGTAACCCAAATGTGGATAAACCCAAAGAAATTCACACCAAGACACATCATAATTAAACTTATGAAAGCTAGAGACAGAGAAAAAAAATCTTAAAACCAGCTAGATAAAAACACGTTATGTATAAGGGAAAAACAATCTTAAGACAGCAGATTTCCACAGAGGCCAGCAGTAAGTGGGACAACATTTTTCAAGTGGTGAAAGAAAAGAACTGTCAACCTAGTACCGTACACTGGGCAAAATTAGCCTTTGTGAATGAAGGTAACATCAAGACATTTTCAGATTAAGGAAAACTAAGAGAATTAGTTACCAGAAGGCCTGCTTTAAAAGAACTGCTAAAGAAAATTCTTCATACAAGAAGTGAAAGCAGAAGGAAACCTGGAATATCAGGAATGAAGGAAGAGCAATGGAAATGGTAAATATCTGTGTAAATATAATAACCTATTTTTAAGTTCTTTAAAAATATGTTTGATGGTTAAAAGCAAAATTTATATTTGTCTAGAAAGATTCCATAGAGCAATAAAAAAGATTACTGACTGATGCGGTTTACAGTACATCAAGATATATGAAACAATTGTAAATATAAAGGGGGAAGGTAAGGGAACTTACAGAGTAGTAAGTTTTTACATTTCATTTGAAGTAGTAAAATATTGATCCTAAGCAGACTGTGAAAAGTTACTTATGTATAATTTCCAGAGTAACCACTACAAAATTATATAAAGAGATAAACTAAAACACATAGTAGATAAATTAAAATGGGATAGTAAAATCTGTTCAAATAACATAAAAGGTGACAGTAAAGGTAAAACCAAGTAACAAAATAAATTTATCAGAAAACACATAATAAAATGGTAGACTGAAATCCAAGTATATAAATGATAGCAATATTATCAATATATTACAATGATCAACAAAAATCAATAATTATTAATATATCAACATATTAGCGATGAACAGTTAGAAACCAAAATTTAAAAAAGAAAATTATTGACATTGCCCTCATCAAGTAAAAAAAATTCTTAAGTATAAATCTAACTCAGGGTCTCAACCTCCAGCACTACTGACAGTTTGGGTTCCATAATTATTTCTTGCGGGAAGAGCTATTCTGTGCATTGTATGATGTTTAGCAGTGTCCTTAACCTCTACCCAATACACACCAGTAGCATACCCCACCCCCTCTAGTTGTGACCTATAAAAATGTCTCCAGACATTGCCTAATGTCCTCATGGAGTCAAAATCACCCCTGGTTGGGAACCACTGGTATAATCAAACATGTATCATGTCTGTATGCTGAAAGCTATCAATGCTGATGAAATAAATCAAAGAAAAGCTAAATAAATGGAGAAACATACTACATTCATCCAATGGAAGACACGACCTAGTAAGGATGTCAATTCTACCCAAATTGGTCTACATTTTTAATAAAATTTTATTTAAAACATCATCAGGCTTCTTTGATAGAAGAGCTTTAATAGCTATAGAAAAGTTTATTCTAAAATTTATATGCAGAGGCAAAAAAAACTGGAATAGCTAAAAACAATTTTGAAAAGAAGGGAAGAAAGTTGGAAGAATCATCCTACTTGGCTTTAAAACTTACTATAAAACTACAAATATATATATATATATAAAATATAAAAATAGTGTGGTACTGGTGAATGCAGAAACACAAAGATCAATGAAACAGAATAGATTCCAGAAAAACATCCCATACATAATCATTATGGTAGAAAGAATAATGGCTCCCCAAAGATATTCATGTACCAATTTCCAGAACCTATAAAGATGATATTTTACATAGCAAAATGAACTTTGCAGATGTGGTTAAGCTGAAGAACATGATTATGTTCTTTATCCTTGATTTTGTGGGTGGGCCAAATCTAATTACAGGAGTACTTATAAGAGGAAAGTAGGAGAGTCAAAGTTGAGACGAAGGAAAGCAGAAGGGTCAGAGTCAGAGATAGATTGAACATGCTGTTGATGCTGAAGATGGAATAAGAGGCCCTGAGCCAAGGAATGTAGGTGAACTCTAGAAGCAGGAAAAGGCAAGGAAATAGATTTTCCTCAAGAGTTTCTGGAGGGAGCACAGCCATGCCAAATATCTTTATTTCGATCCAGTGAAACCTAATTTTGGATTTCTGACCTCCAGAAATGTAAGATAATAAATTTGTGGTGTTTTCAGCTACTATTTTTGTGATAATCTGTTACAGCAGCAATAGGAAACAAAGCAAATTGAATGGGGAAAGGATAGCCTTGGTGTTGGAACAACTGGAAAAAAATTCAATTTGGTGTTGGAACAATTGGAAAAAAATTTAATTTCTACCTAAACCTCATATAAGAATTCAAACTGTAGCACTTTAGTTCAGTACATATTTTTTAAAAAACGTGGCACAATCTAAATGTAAAAGAGAAAAATATATAAAACTTTTAGAAGAAAACAAAAGAGAAAATCTTAATGACCTTGAGTTAGGCAAATAGTTATTAGACATGACAACAAAAGCATAATCCATAAAGGAAAAAAATAATAAACTGAAATTTATCAAAATTAAAAACATTTGTTCTACATAAAATACTATTAAGGGGATTAAAAAACAAGCTACAGACTGGGAGAAAATATCTGCAAATCATATATCTGGTAAAGGTTTCATATCAGAATATATAAAGAATTCACTAAAGTTGAGAGGAAAAACATACAGCCCAATTAAAAAATGGACAAAATGCTTAAACAGACACTTCACAAAAGGAAGATATACAAATGTAAACTAAATACACACAATGCTGCTCAATATCCCAGGCCTTAAGAGAAATGTAAATTAAAACCACAAGATACCACCATTCACCTGACAATACCAAGTGTTGACAAAGAAGCAAAGCAACAGGAACTCTTTCATATACTGCTGTGGGAATACAAAAAGAACTACTCTGGACAACAGCTTGGCAGTTTCTTATTGAGTTAAAAATGTGTTTAGCATGACCTAGCATTCCACTCTTAAGTGTTTATTCTAGAGATATGGAAACTCAGGTTCACACAAAAACCTGTGTCTGAATGTTTAAAGCAGCTCTAGTTATAATCTATAATCACTAAAAAGTGGAAAGAACCCAATGTTGTTGAATGGGTGAATGGACAAACTCTGTTATATCCATACCATGGAATACTATTCGGCAATGAAAAGAAACAAACTGGTATATCCAATAACATGGATGAATGACCAAGACATCATGCTTAATGTGAGAAATCAGCTCAAAAGGTTATATACTACATGATTCCATTTATATGGCATTCTCAAAATGAGAAAACTATAGTGATAGAGGACAAATCAATGTTACCCAGCAGCTAGGGGTCTGGAAAGGGTATGACTATAAAGAGGTAACAAAAGGGAGATTTTTGGGGTGATAGCACTTGTCTGTATCCTGACTGTGGTGGTAATTACATGAATACACACGTGTTAAAAATTATGGAACTGTATACTAAAAAGAGTGCACTCCATTGAATGTACATTAAAATTAAAATAAATAAAGCCAGCATCACACCACAGACCCGGCTCCCTGGGGGCAGGAAATGTCTAAAAATAAGGCTGAATCACAGTGTATTTCAATAAAAATCAACCCAATATGAAGTTTCATACCCCTGTTACTTTTTAAAAATTAAGAAACTGGTTATATTTACAAGATTGTAATCTTGTGACAAAAGGTATATTTAATCTGACTGCAATGTGCACACTAAGTACACGAGAAATAAAGGAACTTTAAATATTTTTTTTTTTTTGAGATGGAGTCTCACTCTGTCGCCTAGGCTGGAGTGCAGTGGCATGATCTCGGCTCACTGCAACTATCGCCTCCTGTGTTCAAGTGATTCTCATGCCTCAGCCTCCCGAGTAGCTAGGACTACAGGCACGAACCACCACGCCCAGCTAATTTTTGTATTTTTAGTAGAGATAGGGTTTCACCATGTTGGCCAGGAAGGTCTCAAACTCCTGGCCTCAAGTGATCTGCCTGCCTCGGCCTCCCAAAGTGCTGGGATTACAGGTATGAGCCACCATGCCCAGCCTCAGGAACTTATAAAACATTTTTTCTTTCTTAGATCAAAAATTTAAATCATATAAATAATCTGCTAGGCTCCTGAATTATCAAAGACTGGTATATCATTACAAAATGGTATTCATTTAATTTTTAGCACAAAACTGTAAAATTTGGGACACTAACTGAAGAAGAGAGTTAAGTAAAAAGTAAAATTGCCATAAAGGACTACCAAAAGTATGCTATATCTACATGGTGCCAAAATTACTGGTCAATATAGTCAGTTTGCTGAGGACCTCAAGTTCTAGATTTAATTATCGCTTTTCCCATTATGATCATGACTAGTCATCTGAGGAACCCAATTCTTTCAGACTTTTTAATATCTAAACTCCTTAATAAATTCACCTCTTTCAGAGTGGCCTCTGTTAACTAAGGGCTTTATGAGCAGTGCTGCCAAGAAGTGCCCAATATATCTAAACAAGTAAAAAAGAATTTTGTTCCTTTAATTGCTTCTCTATTCACAAAAGAATCAGGAGAAAAAAGAATAAAGACCAGGAACACTAAAGAGAGATCTGATTAGCAAGGCAAAGCAAAGATAAAAGAAAACCAGACAAGGTAAGGTAGGAGATTGGCATGAATTATTTTCCAAGCACTGGTCACGAGGCCCCACTAAACAAACAGGATCTGAGAAAAACAGAATGCAGCAAAGAAACCAGCCAAAACCAGCTAGATCCAAGATGGTGACGAAAACAACCTCTAGTTGCCCTCATTGCTCATTATACACTAATTATAATGCATTACCATTCTAAAAGCAACTCCCACCAGAACCATTTACAAATGCCATGGCAACTCCTGGAAGTTGCTTTATATGGCTTAAAAGGAGAAGGAACCCTTAGTTCCAGGAACTCCTCATCCCTTTTCCAGGAAATTCATGAATAACCCACCCCTTATTTCACAACTAATCAAGGAATAGCCATATAGCTAGCCAGAAATCCACTGCTGCTGAAAGGGCTGCTGCTACTACTCTGTCTATGGAGCAACCATTTTCCTGTACTCTGTTGCTCTAATAAACTTGCTTTCACTTTGCTGTCAGCTCACTCTTAAATTCTTTCCTGCACGAAGCCAAGAACCCTCCCAGGCTGAGCCCCAATTTTGGGGTTTGCCTGCATTAAGGGTACTCAGACAATTTGAAAAGATTATCAGGGTAGTGGTAGAATCCTCACAGAACTGAAGTTTCTATTCTCATTAAAGGAAAAATATCAAACAACAACAAAGCAGTTATGTAAGTTGATCAAATAAAATTATTTTATATTGTATACATTATTAATTCATGAAAATTAGGTCTAGGCAACAAAGCAAATGTCATTAAAGATTTCCATTGTATAAACAAAATACTTCTGGCTTGTATATAAAGTTTGCTCTGGGCATCAAAGAGTAACCTCAACAGAAAACAGCCTATTTAATACAATCCTTGCAACATAGCTGAATATGGATCCTGAGAAAGTAAAGCAAGAGTTATGACTAATCTATATGAATAACAGACACGCAGAAGACTCCATATGCAAGACTTTTACATAATGTAATATTTGTAAGAAATGTCATTTTTACCTAGTCTGATAGTTTGAAAGTATAAACATGGAAAGGTATGACATAGAAAGGGACTATATGTCATTGTCATTTTCAATAACAGACATCTAAAAGCTAGAGATCATAATATCCACAAAACAAACTTGTTTTACCTTATTTCATGGCTGAAGCACACAGAACTGAAAGCAAATTAAAGAATATGAAAGAGCAATTGACTTGCAGTCTCAACTCCACTAATCTAATCAAAGAGATAAGTCCTCTTATCTAAATCCTCTAGGAGATAAAACATTTAGAGGGGAAAAGTAGATCACACTGATATTTAATGAACAACCTCAATGTAACTAGTAGAAGTAACATGATATGTGAACCTGATTCATTAAAATTTTTTGTTCATATGGCCTTATCCCCTAAAATTTGTCTAGCCCCCGTTTAGCAGGTTCTAGAGGAAATTCTAGCCTCTGACACCTACAGCTACAGCTAACACTAAAGACAGCCAACTCCTAGCCAGATAAACATAAAATCTCACATTAAAGGCATATTTATCATCTAATGCATTGTGTCTAGCTTTCAAAAAAAATTACAAGGCATGCCAAAAGGCAAAGAAGAGTCTGAATAGACAAAGTAAACATCGGAACCAGACTCAGATAAGGCAGAGATTTTAGAATTATCAGACCAGGAATTTAAAATGCCAAAGGCTCTAATGGAAAAAGCAGACAGCATGCAAGAAAAGATGGGTAATATAAACAGAGAGGAATCTCTAAGAAAGAATCAAAAGGTTGTACAAGAAATCAAAAACACTCTAACAGAAATGAAGAACGTCTTTGATAGGCTCATCAGTAGACAGGACACAAAATAGAAAAGAATCAGTGAGCTTGAAGACGTATGTCAGTGAAAACTTCACAAAGTGAAATGAAAGAACAAAATGAATTTAAAAGGGAAAAGAATATGCAAGAAATATGGGAGAATTACAAAAGGTGTAACATATGTATACATAATGGGAATACCATAAGGAAAAGGGAAAAGGAACAGGAAAAATAATTGAAATAATGAAGGCTAAGAATTTTCTAAAATTAATGACAACACCAAACCACAGATCCAGGAAAGCTTAGAGGACACCACGTAGAAAAAACAAAACAAAAGAAACAAAAAAAAAAACACAACAACAACAACAACAAAAAAAAAACTCCCAAAAGGTACAGCCTGGCATATCATATTCAAACTACAAAAATCAAAGACAAAAATAATCTTAAAAGAAGCCAGGGGAATCACCTATAAAGGAACAAGAATAAAAATAACAGTGAAGGCAAGCAAGAACAGAGTGGAATGAAATATTTAAACTGTTGAAAAAAACCAATCCACCAACCTAGAATTCTGCACCTAGTGAAACTGTCCTTTACAAGTGAGGGAAAAACATACACTCTCTACAAAAGCAAAAATTGAGGAAATTTGTTGCTAGTACATGGATCTTGCAAGAATTGTTTTTAAATAAAGTTTTCCAGAGAGAATGCAAATGATATTGGTCAAAACCTCAGATTTACATTTAATTGGGAAGCAATGTTAGAGAAGGAATAAATTAATGTAAAATAAAATAATTTATCTTTATTCTTAATTCATCTAACAGATAAGTTTCTTCAAAATAATAACAGCAACAATGTATTGGTAATTAAAGCTTATAAATAGGTGAAATGAATCACAGCAGTGTGTAAGTGATAGGGGGAATGAATTGGGAGTACTGTTATGTGTACCACCCCCATGAAGCAGTAATAGTGTCATATTAAAGTGGAATTAGACTGCCTATAAATGTATAATGCAAACTCTATGGCAACCACTTAAAAATTAAAAAGTATAATCGGAATGTTAAATGATTAGAAAAAACAAAATCATATAAAATGTTTAATTAAAGCCAGAGAAGGAAGAAAAAGATTGAAGAAAAAGTAAAATAAAAGCAAAAACCAAAGAAGAAAGGAAATGAACAGAAAACAGTTACACATATGGTCAATATTAATCCAACAATATCAGTTAATCATTTTAAATGTGAATAGTCTACACCAATTAAAACACAGATTGTCATCATGGCTGAATCTGATGGCATTAAAAAAAACAGATTGTCAGAATGGATTTTTAAAAGATGATCCAATTACAGACCCAATTTTAAATATCAAGACATAATGAATTATATGTAAACGGATGAAGAAATATACACCACCTTAACCCTTATCAAAGCTAAGCTGGAGTAGAAACCATATTAATTTCAGATAAAGCACACTTCAGATCAAGGAAAATTAACAGGAACCAGGAATAAAAGAGGGGCATTACATAATGATAAAGAGGTTAATTCTCCAAAAAGATATAACAATCCTTAATTGTGTATGCACCTAACAGCAAAATATCAAAATGCATGAGGCAAAAACTGATAGAATGGCAAGGAAAAATAGATGCATCCTCTATTATATCTAAATGACACCTATAGGATACTTCATCCAACAAGAGCAGAATACACATTCTTTTCAAATTTGCACAGATCATTCACCGAGATAAATGACACCCTGGGCCATAAAACACACCTTTACAAATTTTTAAAAATACACATAGCACGAAGTATGCCCTAGGCAAAATGGAATTAAATTAGAAATCACTAACAGAATGACGGTAGGCATATCCCAATGATTAAACAACATGCTTTTAAATAACACATGGGTCAAAGACTAAAGAGAAATTTTAAAATATTTTGAACTAAATAAAGATGAAGATACAATGTATCAGAATTTGTGGGATGCAGCAAAAGCAGCACTTAAAAAGAAATTTATAGCACTGAATGCAAATATTAGAAAAGAAAGATCTAAGATGAATAATGTAAGTTTCCATCTTGGGAAAATAGAAAAAAAAAAGCGCAAAAAAAGTGCAAATTAAATCCAAAGTAAGCAGAAGAATAAAAATTGGGGCAGAAATCAATGAAATTGAAAAAAGGAAATCAACAAAACCAAAAGCTGCCTCTTGGAAAAGAGCAATAAAATTGCTAAGTCTCTAGTCAGGCTAATCAAGCAAAAAAGAAAGAAGACAAACTACTAACATCAGAAATGAAAGGCAGGCCTTCAGTACTGTTTCTATGAAAATTAAAAGATAATTGAGGGATAGTATGAGCAACTCTAGTCCAACAAATTTGATAACTTAGATGAAATGGACAAATTCCTTAAAAGATCCCTTCCTATAGAAGATACATTGATAAATTGAATTGGTCTGTATCTATTAAATAAATTGATTCAATAATTAATAACCTTCCAAAACAGAAAGCACTGGTCCAAATGGTTTCACTGGTGAATTTTACTAACTACTTAAAGAAGAAATGATGTGAATTCTCTATAATTTCTTCCAGAAAACAGAAGTAGAGGGAATACTTCCTCATTCCATGAAAACAGCACCATTCTAATATCAAAACCAAAGACATTACAAGAAAACTACAGACCACCCTCTTTCCTGAATATAGATACAAAAATCCTCAACAAAATATTACCAAATCATACCCAACAATGTATAAAAACAATTACACGACATAACCAAGTGGAATTTATTCTGGGTATGGAAAGCTGGTTCAACATTTGAAAATCAGTTAATGTAATCCATCACATCAACAAGCTAAAGAAGAAAAATCAAATGATGGCAGATGAAAAAAAATCATTTAACAAAATCCAACACCTATTCATTACAAAAACTCCCAGCAAACTAGGAATAGAGGAAAACTTCAACTTGATTACAAACACCTATAAAAAACCTTAAAGTTAACAACATACTTAATGGTGGGAAACTAAACTGTGAACAAGGCAAGGATGTCCTCTTTTATCACATTATATTCAACACTGTACTAGAAGTCATAGCTAATGCAATAAGAAAAGGAAATAAAGGTATTCATTCTACAAAGGACAAAATAAAACTGTCTTTGTTTGCAGGTGATATAATTGTCTATACAGAAAATCTGAAAAAAAAAAATCAACAAAAAACCCTACTAGAACTAAAAAGCAATTACAGCAAGGTTGCAGCATACAAGGTCATATACAAAAGTCAACTACTTTCCCACATACCACCAATGAACATATGCAATTTGAAATAAAAAATACAACACCATTTAAATTAACAACAAAAAATGAAATACTTCAGTACAAATATAACAAATGTGTGCAAAAAGCATATGAGGAAAACTACAAAACTCATATGAAAGAAATCAAAGAAGCTAAATAAATGGAGAGATACTCCATGTTCATGTATGGGAAGACTCAATATTGTTGAGATGTCAGTTTTCTCCAGCTTGATCTATAGATTCAATGTGACCCCAATCAAAATCCCAGTAAGTAATTTTGTGGATATGGACAAACTGATCCTAAAGTTTATAAAGAAAGGCAAAAAACTCAAAACAGCCAACAGAATACTGAAGAAGAAAACAATACTGGAGGTCTGACACTACCTGACTATAAGACTTACTCTATGAAGCTACAGTAATCCTGACAGTATGGTACTGGTCAAAAAATAGACAAATAGATCAATGGAAATAGAAGAGACAGCACAAAAATGGACTCACAAAAATATAGTCAACTGATCTTTCACAAAGGAGCAAAGGCAACCCAATGGGAAAGAGACAGCCTTTTCAATAAATGATGCTGGAGCAACTGGACATGCCAATGGAAAAAAAAAGGAATCCAAACACAGACCTTACATATTTCATAAAAATTAACTCTAAATAGATCATAGACCAAAATGTAGAAGATGAAACTATAAATCATCTAGAAGATAACGTAAGATAAAATCCAGGTAACCTTGGGTTTGGCAATGACTTAGCACCAAAAACATGATCCATGAAAGACTGGTAAGTAGGACTTCATTAATATTAAGAACTTCTGCTTTACAAAAGACACTGTCAAGAGAATAAGATGACAAGCCACAGACTGAGACAAAGTATTTGCAAAAGACTTAACTGATAAAGTATTTGTATCCAAAATTACAAAAGAACTCTTAAATCTCAACAATAAGAAAACAATCAAATTTAAAAATGGGCAAAAGAACTGATCAGACACTTCACCAAAGAAGATATACAAATGACAAAAAAAGCATATGAAAAGATGCTCAACATCATATGTCATTAGGCATTTGTAAATTAGAACAAAAGTGAGATGCTACCACACACCTATTAGAATGGCTAAAATCTAAAATATCAATAACACCAAATGCTAGTGAGGATGTGGAGCAATAGGAACTCTTATTCATTGCTTGTAGGAATGTAGAATGGTATACCAACTATAAAAGGTTATTTGGCAGTTTCATACAAAACAAAACATAGTCTTACAAGACAATCCAGCAATTGTGTTCTTTGGTATTTACCCAAATGAGATGAAAACTTATGGCCACACAAAAACCTGCACACAAATGTTTACTGCAGCTTTATTAATGACGGCCAAAATCTAAAGGAAACCAAGATGTCTTTCAACAGGTGAGTGGATAAACACACTATAGTACATCCATATAACAAAATATTATTCAGTGATACAAAGAAAAGAGCTATCAGGTAACACACACCCACACAATGAATATCTTGAAATACATATTGTGAAGTGAAGGAAGCCAGTCTGAAAAAGCTACATACCATATGGTTCCAACTATATGACATTCTGGAAAAGGCAAAACTAGAGAGTTAGTAAAAAGATCACTGTTGTTAGGAATTCTGGAGGAAGGAAGGACAGATGAGTAGATGGATCACATGGGATTTTGGGGGCAGGGAAACTATTCTATATGATATCATAATGGTGAATACACGACATTATACATTTCCCAAAAACCATATAACTGTACAATACAAAAAGTGAATCCTAATGTAAACTATGGACTTGGTTAATAATAATGTATCTTTTCAAAATAATTGGTTCATCAGTTTTAGCAAATGTACCACATTAATGCAAGATGTTAATAACAGAAGAAACTGCATTCTGGAGAAAAAAAGGGGGTATATATAAGAACTCTTTGTACTTATTGTTCAATTTTTCTGTAAACTTAAAACTTCTCTAAGATATAGTATTTTAATAATAATAATAATAATACCAGGGTAAAATTCATACTTCTCAAAAAGGCATCAGGTAGCACTGTCTCATTTTAAAAAATATTTTTCAGAAAAGTTTCAAAAAAATGAAGAAGTACATAAATGTTTTAAAGTTACAAATGTCAAAATAGTTATTCAAAAATACTAAATCCTTCATAAAGCCTTCCCTATATGCTTAATTGTTGGTACTCTCCTACAGCTTCATTTGTCTCTCCTTTTGGATGTTTCTGTTATATACATATATATATATATATATATATATATATATATATCTATCTTATTATTTGTTAGTCACTCAATAAATACTTGCTCAATATATATATCACCTGTTATACTTTATATAACAGATGCATTTCTGAAGAAAAAGGGTGTTTATTTTTATAAATCACTCTCCCTTGAAATTATTATAATTGTAAAGATAGCTTATTTTTGCACTTGATACTTTAACTTCCTTTGCCCCCAGTTTTTCTGTCGACTAAGTGGTTTCCAAGATGGCAGTGGTTAGAGAATATGAATAAACATTTTTTGGTAATACTAAAGGTAACATACATTTTATAAAATCAAATGACTTCAATAAATATGTTTTACATTTTCCTTAAATCCTGGCATGGTTGTATGTAAAATACTAATAGAAAAGTTGAATTAGGTTGGCCGGGAGTGGTGGCTCATGCCTGTAATCCCAACACTCTGGGAGGCTGAGGCGGGCGGATCACCTGAGGTCAGGAGTTTGAGACCAGCCTGACCAATATGATAAAACCCCATCTCCACTAAAAATACAAAAATTAGACGGGCATGGTGGCATGCACCTGTAATCCCAGCTACTCAGGAGGCTGAGACAGGAGAATTGCTTGAACCCGGGAGGCGGAGTTTGCAGTGAGCAGAGATCATGCCACTGCACTCCAGCCTGGGCAACAAGAGTGAAACTCCATCTTAAAAAAACAAAAACCCCATAGAAGACCTCAAATTCCCCAGATTAATAATGATATGATACTCCTATGATATATGTATAGATGGTAAAAAAAATACATTACATATGATTTGTAGGGATTTAAGGAATGAATACAAATGGCACTTTGTTTTTGTCTCTCTTGGTAGTAGAACCGCTAAAATACATCTTATATAGAACCCAAACATATTAAAATAGAATTGCTGCAACTCTGCTAGAAGAAATACCAATCCCCTCTCTTAGTCTACTCTGGGCTCCAAATCATCTCTACATAATATCATTTGTCTTTAAAATTTTTGCTGGAGACAATGATAGCCTTAAGACCCTCAGAATCAAAAGAGCATTAAAAAGTAAATAAGCAAGCAGAAGGTATGCTATGTTCTCATACATTAGGCACAAAATCTTCCTCCTGTTTTCTTCTTCTTACTTGACAATCCTTTCTTTCTTCTTTCTCATCTATGTTTCGTGCCTAGTTATGATACCACTACAGCCATGCAGATGGCAGGGTGGCATTTAGAGCTGAGAAGATTCTTGAACACTGCACTAAAATCCCCAGAATATGTGGAGGAGGTAGGAAAGATCAGAATATAAAGAGGCCTAGATTGATCCGAGGTGTTTATATGCCAAAGCATATATTCAGGTTTGATGAAAAATAGGAAGCCAAGGATAAAAGGGGATAACAATCCATCTTTCACACCAATTATAAAACACACCTGCAATACTACTCAAGAATAAACAATGATCACTTTTTAAATATTTGCAAGAGCAAGCACTTTTAAACGGACACTCCGCAAAGCTGTGCAAATGCTTTTTGGAATGGTCAAATGCTACTACTATGTTCTACATGCTTAAAGTTATTCTATGATCTAGTTTCTGTTTTGTAAAAAGAAAATTGTTTTCTATATGCTTTGAAAGTACTAGCAGGCACTCATCATAACATCTGGCAATTTCTTCCTTCTCCTGATTCAAAAGAAATCAAACATTCTTTTTGAGGATTTTCTATATTCACTTCTGCTTATCTGCAATCAGTTTACATGAGTTTAGTATAGCATTTTCCATCTTATGGGCACTCAGTAGTTGTTGATTAAAGAATCAAATATTAACCTTCTAAAAATATTTTAGTCATTAAGGAAGTTAGTTTAGATCTAGATTTCATACCCTGATATTGACCTGTCACTAAGCAACAGAAATCTGTATTTTGAAGGACTGGAACTCACTCTAAAAATAAATTCTAATACAAATGCCATTACTTAAGACTCTCCACTTTGACTAGCTTAATTAGTCATGTTCTAACCTGTTCTCTTCAATTAAAAAGAAAGTCTAGAAAACAATCTGCCTTTAACTTGTCAGCAAAGTACTTGCATTCAACTAACAAAGGAGCATATGAGCTCAGAATCATATTTATCCTTAGGTAATTTGTATGTAAAAGACAATTCAGCAAACAATACTATGCTAAAAATGCACGAGGGTTAAAATTTTTCAACAATACGTACTAAAATTACATTTGTAATATTGTTCTCTCTGTTCAGCTTAAACAAATGTAACAAAAAATGCTTTCTTGACCTGTTGCACAGCATCTTGATTTAAGTAAGTACTCTTTCCCAAGAATGGGTGAGATCCCCGGGAGAGTACTCAACAGAGATTACAGATGAGAAAGGAGACATGAAAATGGAGTCTGATTGTGAATTATTTTGGCTTTTCTCTTAACTGTACAGTCACTCCTTCTCAGTTTCCTCTATTTACTTCCCTAGAGGAACACATTAATCAAAGGTACTGTCCCTAGTTGTCTTCTATTTCCTTCTATTTGTGTTCTTTTCCTTGGTGAACTCACTAATTTGCATTGTTTCAACTGTCATCTCAATCTCTCTAGACCTGGGCTCCTTCCTGAGCTTGTTTCACATTTTGTATTACCAGCTGAATATCTCTATCTGGGTGTTCTGCTAGTACCTAAAACTTAACATGTCCAAAACCAAGATCTTCATTTTCCCCAAACAAGACCTTCTGATTATACCCACTTTTGTTAAAGGCATTCTTATTCTCTCATCCTGGAATCCTACTTTTTTTTTTTTTAACTTCTAACAGTTGACCCATTGCTAAGTATTGTTGACTCTATCTCCCCTACTGCACAGTATCTCTTGTATTTTCCTCCATGTTGCAATTTCTACTACTATTTCAGTACAAATTGCTATTACTTCTTATCTAGACTATCATATGAGCCTTATAACTGGTCAGTAAACATTTGCTGAATGAATGTGTGAAATAAATGGTATCCCTACTTTAGGTCTATCACCACTTGAATTCATCTTTTACACATGGCCAGATTAATTTCCTAAAACACAGTTCTAACCTTATTACTCATCTATTCAAAATACAGGTTCCCACTTCCCACATAATTAAATACATTTTTCTGTCTCACAGTCACAATATTTCACATTTACGAGCTCTAATCTGTCTTTCCAAGCTTATTTCCGAATTCTCTGAAACATCTTCCCCTCGCTGGAACCAGGATAGACTACTCACTTCTGTACACATACTATGCTCTCTCACAACTAGGCCATTTTTCATGTTATTCCTACACCTGTAATAATCCTACTCATCAATCAAGGTCTATCTCAGATGTCATCTCCTCTGTGAAACCTTTCCTAACTCCCCATGATGGTGGTTCCTAACTTTCTTCTGAAACCCCACAACACCCGACTGGCACTTCTTTAAATCATTTATGACCTACCTTTTATTAGGGCAATAAAATAAAGCTTGCCTTATCCCATATGGTTTGAGGAAAGAAATTTGCTTTGTTCATATCTGAACACTCTGCAATGCCAAGAACAGTAGTGTGTATAAGTTCTCAATTAATATTTTTAGGGTAGGGAAAAGAATAAGCAAATAAAGGAGAGTATACATAATATAGGGAAAAAATAAGTGGTAAGAACTGGGTTCTAAAATAAAATCTTAATCCTTATATATAAGAGTGGTAGCCAAATCATAGCCAAACCTCCTTTATGCTCATTTTAAGCAAACACTTTTTACCATTATTTTTGGAAATCTAAATTTATTTATTTTTAATACTTGTATTTTACTACCTGCCAGGCACTGTTATAAGTCCTTTGTATGTTAACTTATTTAATCTTTATAGCAACCCTATTTTACAAATGGACAAACTGAGGCACACAGACTAAACAACTTGCTTAAGGTTACAAGGTGGCAAAGCCCAAGCAGTCTGATTTCAGAGACTTCATCATGACAATATAGTATACCTACAAACGTGTACTTCCCTGACTTTAAAATCTGAGTAAATTGGGGGCTGGGTGCGGTGGCTCATGCCTGTAATCCCAGCACTTTGGGAGGTCGAGGCGGGTGGATCACCTGGGGTCAGGAGTTAGAGACCAGCCTGGTCAACATGGTGAAACCCCATCTCTACTAAAAATACAAAAATTAGCTGGGCATGGTGGCGCACGCCTATAATCCCAGCTACTCGGGAGGCTGAGGCAGGAGAATTGCTTGAACCCGGGAGGCAGAGATTGCAGTGAGCCAAGATTGTGCCACTGTACTCCAGTCTGGGCAACAGAGTGAGACTCTGTATCAAAAAAAAAAAAAAGAAAAAAAAATCTGAGTAAATTTGAAACAAGGTTTTTATTTTCTTGAAAACTCGAGGTCATCATTATAACTTTGCCTTATATAGTACAATGACAAACTGAGAAGGCTGCTGAAATGCAGAGGGCTCCTATACTGAACGTACCAAAACAGTCAGGTTTTGTGGCTTTTGTTTTGTTTTGTTTTTTTAGCTTTTCTCTTGATATTAAGCTGTTGCTTATTACTTATGGCTATCAGTGTTCCTAAAATGGCTTCATCCTCTTTTCAATTTACTGGGATCTGGGAACCAAGCTTACCAAAAATATGTATTATTTCGGAGCCAAAGAGGCTCCGAAAAGCTTCTTTTACAAAGGTGCTTATGCTTTGTTACAATCAATGCTCCTATATCTCACAACGGTTTCAAGGAGTGAATTCCACTAATTCTGTGAGAAGTCTGATCCAGAGATAAACAGGACATTACCATATAATTTCTAATGACTGCATAAAATAATTATGTAAACTAAATGAGGGTCCTAAAAGTTGGTCATGCTACCCCAAAAGTGATTTACACCAGGCCCAGGATTCATAACTAGAAAATGTAGTATTTCTTAGTTAGAGCAACCAAACAATGCATAATTTCTTACCTTTGCACCACCCAAAAATCCCAGCGAAATGGCAACTCTAGCTCGTAGATCTGGCCTGTCTTTGGGCCACACATAAGAAAGCATTGCTTTTATGATTTTCCGAGTATCAACATCTTTTAACTATTGAAAGAGAGAAAACAAAGCAGTGAATAACATGTCATTTCAAACATAACCATAATTCAATAACGTAGAATTTATATATTTGAGAAATACATGAAAACATTACAAATATAACTTTTATTCTGAATCTAAGGCTAATATCTTTCAAAATCAAAATATTTTAGAGAAAAATTATTTCAATTACTTTAAAAAAGTTATTCATTTCTCTTAAATGTCTTACTTTCAATTTTAGCCACTCTCATATTGTTAAAAAAGTAATTTAGTGGTCATGAAGGGACATGTACTATACATTTATTTATTAAGCTACCAAAACACTACAGAAAATTCAAAAAAAATTTCCATATTTCCATTTTTGTAGTAGAAAATTTATATACATTTTGGCTATTTGTCAGTTTTTTATTTAAAACACTTTGGAGTCCCAAGTCTAAACTCATGGTAGAGCTGAGTTGCAATACTCCTTTTAGGAAAGCAGAGGGCTTGGTATTGACTATATCAAACAAAGTTGAGTTACTGAAAATTTCCTCACAAATGCAATTTTCCAATAATACTTAATCTGATCTAAATCCATCTCACATTTTTTTCTTTGTACCATGTTCCTGAGGCAACATTCCCATTAAATTCTTTTGCTTTACTTTCAGCTTTAAAGGCAGAATATTAAGAATAAAAACCACATTTTCTAATACCAAACTAAGTAGACCAATACATATATATTCTAAAACTACTACATTATTATGATTGGCAAAACAATCCCCATTTAAACATTAAAATCATAACTTGATTTCTGGAAAAGGTATTAAAAAGAATAAAACATACCCAAAAAACACTGAAAAAGAAAAAAGTAAAAAAAAAAAAAGATACTGCTTATTACTGCTGAGGGCATATGAAAATGAGCACTCTAATACACTGTTGATGGAGAATACACTGAAATAATCTTTCTGGAGAGCAATTTGCTATATATTACAAGCTTTTAAAATAATTTTGCCCTTTGTGTCAATAATTCTACTTCTGGGAATTTATGCTAAAAAAAAACCCTTATAAATATGCTCTAAGTTGAATCAATTTTATCTCCTAAAAATCTCTTGAATCTATTTCTTTCCATTTCTAACCATAAACCTCATCTGAGCTATCATCAATTATCGCGTAAACCACTGCAACAATCTCCTAACTGATCTCCCTGCATCTACTTTGTCCTTATCTAGTAAGTTCACCCTGCAATCAGATTTCCCTTCCAGCTTAAAACCCTTAAGCAGTATCCTATCATTCTTGGGATAAAAACTAAAATCTGTAACATGGCTTATAAGGCTCTGCTTGGTCTGGCCTCTGGATACCTCTCCAGTTATGTTTTATACCACTGCTTTCAGTGCTTAGGCCACACTGCCTTTCTTTTAGTTCCTTAAACATTCCATAATCCCTTCTGTCATGGGGACTTTACACAGTAATGTCTACTCTGTCTGGAATAATCTCTCTCTCTCTAACACCTTCCCCTGTGGCCCCTTCAACCTCTTTCAACTAGTTGACCAACAGCTCAAATAGCATTTCCTCAATAATGTCTTCCCCAGCCCATCAGGGTCCTTTGCCTTATTCTCGCACAGTACATTATTCCTTTCTTTCACAGTATCCATTTCAGTTATAAACTACATAAACAGCAGTACAATTATTTGATTAATATCCACTCTCCTGCACATTCCACATGAGTAATCACTCTAACAGTAGTGCTTACTGTTGTAACTCAAAGCCAAATACAGTGACTGACATACAATAGGTACCTAATGAGTATTTGTTGAATAAAGGAATGGAAATTTAGCTATAAGGTTGTTTATACCAATTCTGTTTTAATAGAAACAAAATTGGAAACAGCCTAAGTGATACATGTTGGAGAACAGTGTAAATAGAGTGAACACATACAACAAAATGCAGCCATTCAGATATGTATGTAGTGACAGAGGAATGTGTTAAATGAAAAAAGCAGAGTGAAAAAAATATTTTTGTGGGAAAAAATGTGATATATGTAGGAGTTTACACCAAAGTGTCAATAACAGTAGCTGTGAGTGGGTGGAATCATTGATACTTTTTTATGGCCTTTTGTTGTTGTTGTTGGCTAGCTTCTACTTTTTATAATTCACATATATTCAGCAGGGGTTAGGGAGGGAAGTTATATAATTTCGAGTAGATTTGCAAAGCAAGGAACGGGGGGAAATTGTCAACATATAATATAAAACTAACCTGTATTATATAAGGTACTGTCAAGGCCCAGGACAGTACCTTATATAATACAGGTTAGTTTCATATTATAGTTATCCCTCTAGGACTCAGCAAACTACTTTTCTAGTCTTTTAGGCAGTTTATCGCATAAAGAGTATTAGAAATAAAATTGTTCATATTGTAAAAACACAAGAGTTATCTTCCTGAACTGCTTTAAATACATAAGATGACAAAAATATGAAATGCTGAAAGTATAGTTCTTAATGTTTTATTTTATACACACACATATGCATGCTCTTATAACTGGTAAGACCTTTTAAGGCAGTAATTTTAAAATTCCCTTTCCCAATAGAACTATTATGAAATAAATATAATTTAAAGCATTATAACACAAACTAGGGCATTTCAACCACTTTCTCATTTCATGAGTTTTGTCTGTCTTACTTTTCTTGATGGAATAATGGAAAAAGGCCCTGCTTTCACGTATCTTTAGAAACACTCTCTTCTATCAAAACCTTCTACAACACATCCCAGAATTTTTTCAATAAGGACACAGTGAAGTTATGGCTAAGAGCAAGAAAATTATTCTAGTTGGCTTAATAGTGCATAAAATGTCACCACTTCATTTAACAAAATGGGTTCTGAAGTTATGTAATCATGCATTATGAGTCCATTAAGCTGTAAAGTACATGAATTCCATTAGTTTTGATAAACTATAAAGTTTGAAAAATAATGCATTTTTTTAACTGGAGACCAAACCAAAGAGGCATTTCAGAGTCCGAGGCACAGTTTTTATTGATTCATAATATTTTACATATTTATGGGGTACACGTGAGATTTTGTTGAATGTACAGAATATGTAATGATCAAATCGGAGTATTTGGGGTATCTATCTCCTTGAGTATTTATCATTTCTATGGGTTGGGAACATTTCAAGTTCTCTCTTCCAGGTACTTTGAAATACACGTTATTGCTAATTATAGTCACCCTGCTCTGCTATCAAACATTAAAACTTACACCTTTTATCTAACTGTAGGTTTGTACCCATTGACCAATCTCCCTCTATCCCCCACTCCTAACCACACACCCTTCCCAGGCTCTGATATCTATCACTCTATTCTCTACCTCTATAAGATCAACTTTCTTAGATAACATGTGATATTTGTCTTTCTGTGTCTGACTTATTTCACTTAACATACTAACCTCCAGTTCCATCCATGTCGCTGCAAATGACAGGATTTCACTTTTTTGTAGACTAAGAGTATTCCACATTTATATTATCGTATTTCCCACTGATGGACACTTAGATTGATTCCATATCAGCTATTGTGAAACGTACTGCAATCAACATACAACATGCAGGTATCCTTTTGATATACTGATTACCTTTCCTTTGGATAAATATCAGGTAGTGGGATGGCTGGATCATATGGTAGTTCTAGTTTTAGTTTTTTGAGAAATCTCCATACTGTTTTTCATAGTGGCTGTACTAATTTACAGTCCCACCAACAGTGTATAAGAGCTTCCTTTTCTCTGCATCCTCACCAATATCTGTTATTTTTTGTCTTTTTATTCATGGCCATTATAACTGAGGGAAGAGGATATCTCATGTGGTCTTGATTTGCATTTCCCTGGTGATTAGTGACGTTGAACATTTTTCCACATACTTGTTGGTCATCAATATGTCTTCTTTTGAGAAATGTCTTTTTAATTGATTTTTTTATTATTGAGTTGAATTCCTTGTATATTCTGAATATTAGTCTCTTGTTGGATGAATAGTTTGAAAATATTTTCTCCCATTTAACAGGTTGTCTCTTCACTCTGTTGTTCCTTTTGCTGTGTGGAAGCTTTTAAGCTTAATATAGTCCCAGCTGTCTATTTTTGGTTTTGTTATCTGCTTTTCAGGTCTTCACCACAAAATCTTTGCATAGACCAATGTCCTAAAGTATTTTCCCTATTTTTTCTTCCAGTAGTTTTACAGATTCAAGTCTTACATTTAAGTCTTTAATCCATCTTGAGTTGATTTTTGTACATGGTGAGAGACAGGGATTCAGTTTCATTCTTCTATATACGGACTCCAATTTTGCCAGCACAATTTATTAAGGAGAGTGTCCTTTTCCCATGTATGTTCTTGATGCCTTTGTCGAAAATCAGTTGGCTATAAATACATGGATTTATATTTGGACTCCCTATTCTGCTCTGTTGGTCTATGTATGTGTTTATACCAATACCATGCCATTTTTGTTACTATAGCGTTATAATATATTTTGAAGTCAGGTAGTGTGATGTCTCTAGCTTTGTTCTTTTTGCTCAGGATTGCTCTGGGTATATGGGCTCTTTTTTTGGTTCCATACAAATTTTGGAATTCTTTTTTCTATTTCTGTGAAAAATGATGTTATAACTATCCTTGTAGAGATCTTGCACCTCCTTGGTTAGATTTAATCCTGAGTAATTTTTTTGGTAGCTATTGTAAGTGGGATTGCCTTCTTCATTTTCTTCTTAGCGATTTCACCATTGGTGTATAGAAAGACTACTGATTTTTGTATGTTGATTTTGTGTCCTGTAACTTTACCAAATTTATTTATCAGATGTAAGAGTTTCATTGGTGTAGTCTTTAGTTTTTTTCTAGATATAAAATCATATCATCAACTAAGAGGGACAATCTGACTTCTTTCCCAATTTGGATGTCTTTTATTTGTTTCTCTTACCTGATGGCTCTGGTTAGGACTTCCAGTACCATGTTGAATACGAGTAGTGAAAATGGGCATCCCTGTCTTGTTACAGTTTTTTTTTTTTTTTTTTTTTTTTTTTTTTTTTTTTTTGTGGAAAGGCTTTCAACTCTTCCCTATTCGGTATGTTGTTAGCTGTGGGTAAGTCATATATGGCATTTATTATGTTGAGTTTTTCTATGCCTACTGTGCTGAAAGTTTTTATTATGAAGAGATTTTGAATTTTATCAAATGCTCTTCCTGTGTCTATTGACAAATAAAAGATTGATTCTTTGAAAAGATAAATAAAGCTGAAAGACCACTAGCTAGATTAACCAAGAACAAAATATAAGATTCAAATACGTGTAATCAGAAATGGAAAAGGAGACGTTACAACTGATACCACAGAAATACAAAATATCATCGGAGACTACTATGAGCACTTCTATGCATACAAACTAGAAAACCTAGAGGAAATATATAAATTTCTGGAAATGTACAACCTCCCAAGATTGAATGAGGAAAAAAACAGAAATACAGAACCCACCAACAATGAGTTCCAAAATTGAATCAGTAATAAAAAACCTCGAAACAAACAAACCCAAAAACCCCAGAACCAGGCAGATTCACAAATTCCATGAGACATATAAATAACTGGCACTAATCCTACTGAAACTGTTCCAAAACATTTCAGGAAGAGGGAATCCTCCGTAACTCATTCTACAAGGGCAGCATTACCCTAAAACCAAAACCAGGCAAGGAAACAACCCAAAACAAAACAAAAAACTACAGGCCAATATCCCTGATGAACACAGATGTAAAAATCCTCAACAAAGTATCAGTAAACCAAATCCAACAGCACAAGATAAAGATAACATACCATGATCAAGTGGGTTTTATTCCAGGGATGCAAGAATATATGCAAATCAATAAATGTGATTCACTACATAAACAGAATTAAAAACAAAAACCATATGATCATCTCAATAGATGCAGAAAAAGCATTCAATAAAATCCAGCATAAACCTTCAATAAACTAGACATAGAAAAAATACACCTCAAAATAATCAAAGCCACATATGGCAAACCCAGAGTCAACACCACACTGAATGGGGAAAACTTGAAAACACTCCTGAGAATGAGAATAGAACAAGGATGCCTGCTTTCAACCACTCCTATTCAACATCTTATTGGGAGTCCTAGCTACAGCAATCAGAGAAGAGAAATAAATAAAAAGCATCCAAACTGGAAAAGAGGAAGTCAAATTATCTCTTTTTGATCTTACACCTAGAAAACTCCTCCAAAATGGTCCTCCAAAAGGGTCCTAGATTTGATAAATAACTTCAGTAAAGTTCAGGATACAAAATCAATGTACAAAAATGAGCATTTCTATACATCAATAACAAGCAGAGAACCAATCAAGAGCTCAATCTCATTTACAATAACTACAAGAAAATAAAATATCTAGAAATACATTTAGCCCATGAGTTGAAAGATGTCTACAAGAAGAACTATAAAACACTGATGAAAGAAGTCATAGATGACACAAACAAATGGAAAAACAAACTCAAGGATTGAAAGAATCAATATGGTTAAAAAGACCATACTGTCCAAAGCAATTTACAGATTCAACACTATTCCTATCAAACTACTAATGTCATTTTTCACAGAATTAGAAAAAACTGTTCTAAAATTCATATTGAACCAAAAAAGAGGCAGAATACCCAAAGCAATCCTAAGCAAAAAGAATAAAGCAAGAGGTACCACATTATCTGACTTCAAATTATACTACAAGGCTACAATAACCAAAACAGCCTGTACTGGTATAAAAATACACACATAAATCAATCAGAAAGCAAGCCACATATGTACAACTAACAGATCTTTGACAAAGTTGACAAAAGTATATACTGGGGAAAGGACAATCTATTCAATAAATACTGCTGGGAAAATCAGATAGTCACATACAGAATAATGACACTGGACCCATATCTCTCACTAAAAACAAAAATTAACTAAGATCTAACTATAAAAAGCCTAGAAGAAAACCTAGAAAAAACTTTTCTAGACATTGGCCTAGGTAAAGAATTTATGACTAAGACTGCAAAAGCACAGATAACAAAAGTAAAAACAGACAAATGGGACTCAAATGAAAAAGATTCTATACAGCAAAATAAATAATTAACAGATTAAATAGAAAACTTACAGAATGGGAGAAAATATCTGCAAACTATGCACCCAATAAAGAACTAATATCCAGGATCTAAAAGGAACTCAAAGAACTCAACAAGAAAAAAACAAGTAACTCCATCAAGAAGCGAGCTAAAGACATGAACAGATAGTTTTCAAAAGAAGACATATAAGCAGCCAACAAACATATGAAAAAATGTTCAACATCAATAATCATCAAAGAAATCCAAACTAAAACCACAATGAGATTCCATCTTACACCAGTCAGAATGGCTATTATTAAATAATTAAAAAACAACAGATGTTGGTGAGGATGTAGTAATTAAAAAACAACAGATGTTGGTGAGGAGGTAGAGAAAAGGGAATGCTTATACACTGTTGGTGGTAATGGAAATTAGTACAACCGCTATGGAAAACAGTATGGAGATTTCTCAAAGAGCTAAAAATAAAACTACCATTCAATCCAGTGATCCTATTCCTGGGTATCTTCCTAAAGGGAAACAAATCATATAAAAAAGACACCTGCACTCATATGTTTACCACAGCACAATTCATACTAGCAAAGTAATGGAATCAACCTAAATGTCCATCAACAGATGAGTGAATAAAGAATATGTGGTATAGAGTATCATCAAGGGATGCAGAGCACGATGGTGGACTATAAGGCTCCACCAATCATCCCCCTTCCCTTCAAGGACACCAATTTAACAACTATCTACACAGAAAAAACACCTTCATAAGAATCAAAAATCAGGTGAGCCCTCATAGTACCCGATTTTAATGCCGTATTGCTGAGTCACTGAAGAGATAGAAAAAACAGTCCTAAATTGCTGACACCACCCCTCCCCGACACCGCAGAAGCAGTGGTGTGGTGTGGAGAGCATCTCTGGGTGCTGGAAGCGGGAGAGCACCGCAACTGTGAGGTGCTGAACTCAGTGCTGTCCTGTTAGAGCAGAAAGGAACACCAGAAACAGGACGAAACTCAGCTGATGCCCGTCGGCAGAGGAAGCATTTAAACCAGCCCTAGCCAGATGAGAGTAATCGATCCCATAAACCCTGCCCCTGCAGGCTAAAGTGCTTTGTGCTCTAAATAAGCTTGAAAGGCAGTCTAAGCCATAAAGACTGCAACTAACCGGTGAGCCCTAGTACCGAACTGGGCCCAGAGATGGTGGGCTGAGGGCGAGGGTCACACAACCTACTGAGACACCAGCTGGGGTGGCTAAGGGAGTGCTGGCATTGCTCTCCCCTCACCCCAGGTTGTACAGCCACTGCTCCCAAACAGATCCCTTCCTTCCACGTGAGGAGAGGGCAGAGTGGGGAGGACTTTGTCTTGCATCTTGGATATCAGCTAAGCAACAACAGGATAGGGCAACTGTCAGAGTCGTGAGGGCCCTATTCCAGGCCCTAGCTCCTGGACCCATTTCCAGACACGCCCTAGGCCACAAGGGAATCCACGGCCTTGAAGGGAAGGACCCAGTCCTACCAACACTCATCACCTGCTAACTGAAGAGCCCTTGGGCCCTGAATAACCAGAAGTGATACACAGTTACTACATCAAAGGTGAGCCTCTGAGAATTGCTGGCTTCAGGTGAGACTCGGTACATTGCCACCCGTGGTGGCTAGGTGCGAAGCTCCTTCTGCTTGAGAAAAGCAGGGGGGAAAGTGAAGGGAACTTTGTCTTGCACCTTAGGTACCAGCACAGCCACAGAGGGGTATAGCACCAAGCAGGCACTGGATGGTACCGGATTATAGGATTTGACTCTTGGACAGCATCTCTAGACCTGCCCTGGGCCAGAAGGGGGCCCACTGCCCTGAAGGGTGAGTCTCTGGCCAGGCAGCATTTACCACAAGCTGACTGAAGAGCCCTTGGGCCTTAAGGGGACATTGGGGGTAGTCTGGCAGTACTCCCCGTGACCTGTGGTGGCTGTGGCTACAGAGTGAGGCTCCTCTGATTTTGGCAAGGGGAGAGGAGTGGGAAGGACTGCATCCTGTGGTATGAGTGCCGGCTCAGCCTCAGTATAACAGAACACCTGGCAGACTTCTAAGGTTTTTGACCCTAGTTCCTGACTCACAGACAGCACCTCTGGACCCATGCAAGGCCTGGGGGAACTCGCCACCCAGAGAGGAGGAACGTGGGCCTGGCTGGCAAAGAATGTGGGCCTGGCTGGCTTTGCCACCTGCTGACTGCATAGTCCCAGGGACTTACCAAACATAGGCAGTAGCCAGGGAGTGGTTACAGCAGATCCTCGGTGAGAACCTGTTCCTCCTCTGCTATCAGAATATACAACATGCCTCAAATTTACAGCCCCATTGCAATGTAAAACTAGTACTCTATTAGTATGAGGAATTAAAGTTTTTAGAAAATCTCAACTATATATTGGAATTAGATAGTCATAGTTAAAGGAAGCAATTAGATCCAGAAAAAAAAAAAAAACCACAATGGTAACAAAGAAATAAATTCAGATAGAGTCACTAAGATCTTGGAATAGTAACAAAATTTTATTTACTTTTTTTTCAGAAATGACTTTAGAAGAAAAAGTTCGGAAATGACAGAGGGCTGAGAGAAGCTGAAAGCAACTGAAAACGAGGTGGCCCAAGAGAAAAAAATCAGAAGAAAAAGAAACTTGACTGATATCAGAAATACTCACTAAATACTTATTCCATTAATTAATTAATGTATCTATTTTCAAACACATGATGGGAAATTCTTATTAATATCCTAGAGGCAATACCTAATAATTAAATCACCACAACTTCTGACAGATTTTTAAATATTTACTTATTTGGTATTAACATACAGCTTCATAAGCTTCATGAGGCTGGACAGGTAAGAAATAATGAAAAGAACATCTATACAATGAAATAGCACAATCACAGTATGGTGGGTCAAAAACAAATACATAAATAAATAAGTACACAAATAAAACTGGAAGTACCAAACTCAGTAGGGTGTAACTGGAAAGCCACAAATTATACTTCTCATGAATTGACAGTGCTCAATTTGACAGTGTGATTTGAGGAAGAGAAGCACTGCCTCATGGCCAAATGTACTACAAGTGAACAGCTATACCTAATAACGATGTAGACAAGACCTGAGAATAAAAAACCAAAACAGCTGGAGCAGCTCATTTGGTAGAATTTTCAGATATTAAAGATAACTGTATATTAATAAATTGAATACACATTCTGTTTCTCAGGTAAGTAAGTTTCTATTTCTCGCCAGGAAAGGTCAAGCACTGAAGCAAGAGCCTATTTTTCTATCCGTTGCTTGTTCTTTTCAAGGGAGTGAAGCCCAGTGGCCCTTGATAAGAAAATGAAGAGTAAGAAAAAAAAAATGATCTTTTGATAAAGGTAGAAGAATCACCTTTTCCTTAGCCGATGAGGAATTTCTCTAAGAATTCTGGTTTTACAGACATTCCTAAATTCTAAAAGCAAGAAATGTAATACCTCATAGAATCAAGGGACTGATTTTGAAAGAAACTACTTGGGGACAAAACTTGTAGTGAGGAACTAAAAAACATAAAAAAAAATTGGAATGCTGTTTTGTAAAAATATGAGCTATAGGCTGAAGGTTTTCTCCCTAAAGAACCAATCTAGAAGAAAATTTGGAAGTGTCCATAATTTCAGGGATAAGCAAACTATCCAGAGAAAAGAACTGTCTCCTCAACCCAACAACTGCAATAAAAGGAAGAAACCACTTCAGTACTATTAAAGATAACAATGGATTTATAAAAAGAAGGTCAAAAACTAGCGAGTTCAGTCGATGTCTAAAAAATCCAGAGTATAACTGGAAAATTTTTATTGTGTTGTTGGAGAGATACATATAGTGAATTTGGGATAAGAGAAGAAAATATGTATGAGTTGTCAGGAAAGGCTTTACAATTTTTGTTACATTATACTTCAGGGTTTGTTTTCCGAGCTTTGTTGGTCTGAAAGTTCAATGAAGAACTTATTCGGTGGTGATTAGACCCTTTCCTTAAATGGATTATGCTACATATAAGATGGATTTGTATTTTACAGTCCATTTAATAATTTACAATAAAAAGAACTACCCGCCAGACTGATATTCAAGTTGGCCAGTCAATGAATTTTCTATCCCAAAGGAAAGACAATTTTAGAAATCAAATGAAGATCATAAGGCTATTTGATTATGTATGAAATCAGAGCTGGAATACAGCCTCACCATGTCATCCAGGTATGCTTGCCCACTGGTCTAATGTGTCCACTCATTTTAACAAACCTCTTCCCAATCTTCCAATTTTTAATCCTCCAAGTTACTCCAAGTTTTAATACCAATTTTTAATATTCCAAGTTACTGTTTCACTTCTTCTGATTACATCAAGCTCTCCAATTGCTTAAGTAAGTGAAAATTTCTCTTTAAAAACTACTAGCTTCTGACTGTGTCCAATCAATAAGAATGTGTTTCTAACATAAAAAAGAGTATGTCAAGCAAAATCTCAGAAAGAATCCTTTCATTAGGGTCTTCATTATTTGTGTCCTTATTAAGATACATGGCTAACTAAATTTACTAGCAGATGCCTCTTCAAAGCAGCATATAAATAAAAATTTAAATGCAGGAATAAAGCTCCAAAATCCTTTAAAAATCTGGGGATTCTATTATAAAACAATTCCTTAATTCATCTACTTTAAAAACTGGAGTTTTCAAATACTGAAATTGCCACTCCTTTTTCACAAACCCTTTATGATCCCATGCTATATAAATGGATGATTTAAATAAATTCCAAGCAGCATTATTAATACTGATTGTTAGCTGTTAAGAACACACACATGTAAATGAATAAAAAGGGAAGCAAAGCTGGGTTTGGTGGTGCACACTTGTAGTCCCAGCTACTCTGGGAGCCTAAGGTGGGAGAATCGCTTGGGCCCAGGAGTTCGAGAGCAGCTTGGGCAACACAGAGAGATCCCTTCTCTATAAACAAGCACACAAAAAGTAAAGCACTACAGATTTCAGTTGGTTATAAGGTAAAATCTATTATTTGTCACAGTGATAAAACTTCTACATGGCAGTTTACATATTCTGCCATGTTGTTAAGTTTCTAGACAGCAGAGATTTTGTCTTGCATATCTCCAGTACTTAACACAGAGTTTAGCACAAAGAAGGTATTCAATATATACTTTTTAAATAAATGGATTATGGTAGAGGACAGGCCTTACAATCTCACATTATAACAACAGCAGCTAAAATTTATTGAGCACTTACTATGTGTCAAGCACTATTTAAGAGCTTTAACATGGTGTGAGGAGTTAACTCATTTAAATCCCCTTCAAAATTATCATCTCCATTTTACAGATGAAGAAACTGAAGTACACAGAGATTAAGTAACTAGCTCAAGGTCATTCTACTAGCAAGTGATGGAGCCACAATTCAAATCCAGGCAGTCTGGCTCCAGAGCTCAAGCTCTTAACTACAACTCCACACTATTTTCTGACATGGTCTCCAATCTATATGATTCTATGATTCCAATTCGATAAAAAGGCTAAACTAATACAAAGATGGCAAGGGAAAACAAACAAAGGGCTACAGACTAACTATAAAGTATTACGATGAGTGTTGCTTTATTTTACTGGAGCAGAAAGAAACTGTCTTGAAGTTTATACTGCTTGAGCCTAAAAGAAGTAGCTGCTTCTCCTTTATTAAGTCAACATGTTTTTGGTTGTGTTTAGATTATTAGCAACTATCCTTAAGAGGCCTTGGTGACAGATGATCCTGAAAACTGGCAAATATCATACCAAAGACTAATGCAAAGACAAACAAATCTCACTATTTGGGTTAATATTTTAAAATTTATTTTATGATACTTTGCAGTTTTAAAAATCAGCTATGAAGGATAATGTACAAAAATGGGACAGAAACATGAATGTGAAGTGTTTTGAGTTCCTTGAAAGAACTGTACTAGGAATCAAAGAATGGAAAAAAGCACTGAAAACTGTTTCCTGCCAATCACTTTCTATGAATAAAATAATTAACATTTACTTCTCTCTTTGCAATTTAAAGAGTACTTTTACATAAAATTTGTTCACTTGACCACCAACCCTGAAAATATCATTTCTACTTAGAAATAACATGTATATACTGATTGGGTCAAGCCAGAGGAAGAAAATAAAGGCAAGCTCAGAGAAAAAGGGCCAGATGTAATACTGTATAACAGTATTCCAATGACATTTTTCACTTACTGAGAAAAAATATATAGTGCAAGTCTTTCTATTTCAACAGCCCTACTGCTTAGCATGTCTGTATAATGATAATAATAACGATAAAGAATGTGGATAACTAGGTGGATCAGGTAGATAGAGGATTTACCATGAAGCTAGGGGATATTCTAGGATTTCTCTAAGTGTATAGAAGGGGAAACATTAACCTTGAAGCACACGCACACACACAAATTGTTTTTTAGGTGCTAAATCTAATTTGCTTACTTATTATAAGGCTAAATTACATAACAACCTCAAATGATGCTATTTTAAAGAACTAAAACATTTAGGTGGATAAATAACTTTTCTTTTTTAGTCAATCATAAATCTTTAAGTCCGAGAAAATATCATCTATAAACTATGGTCAATTAATATGTTTTTTTTTTCATTAGAGAACATGCAGTTAGATGAGTCAATCAAAATATTCTAGGATATTATAATCTTAAATACATATATCTTCTGTGCAAGGACAATCATCAAGAATTTCCAGTTACTTGTTACTGGCTCTTACCCCTTCTTTTGGGTCTGTGTGGAGTCCTCCTCCTGCATGACCATGCCAACATGTCCTCTTTTCTATCAGTGGCCATACCTGGAGAGCCTAATTGAAGATGATACCAAGCAGTCCGTTAGCTATTACAGAATTTCAGATGTTTCACAATTTGGCTTGAACAGTCTAATCTAATGAACGTTTCCAAAACAAATTCACAGGTATAGTATTTAGTCTGGCATAGTAAAGCAAAACACCTCCACAATTAACTTATAGCTAAATTTATGTTAAAAATATTAAGATACAACAAACTCATACTGAAGTCACTATCTCTAAATAGCTTTTGAAACTCACGTTTAAAGGATTTAACCTGTTTTACACTTCTACTTGACTTATACTGGCTTTCCCAGTGTCATTCACTACTATAGTGCCGATAATCTCTTATTCCATTATTGGCAAGCAAGTATAATATGCAGTTAATTTATATCTCACTTGCTTTCCTTGTGTATACATTTCTTTTTTATAGTTAACACAGTTAATTTTAAACAACTGATTCTTTTTCTTGTTGTACTTGCTCATATATACATTTAGAAACAAGGTATTTTTTAATATCTCATAGTCTGTCTTATGCCTATATTGTAGTCATTTGCATACACTGTTTTGCCTTTCTTATTACACGATAAATTTCTAAAGATCAGAGACAGTGTCTTTTATCTTTGTATCTCCCATGGAACATACCACAGTATCTTACACACGGGCAAGGTAAGTTTCAATACTTGTTGGATTAGATGATTTTTCAGTAGCTATAATAATCAATAATTAATGAACAAGGGCACAGTTCTTTACAAACACAAATGCGTATCAATATCATACATAGCATAGCAATATCAGCTCTGGGCCAAGCTATGAAAATGGAGTTACAAAAAGCAAAAAGTGCCTTCTTGCTCTCACCAGTTGAGATAGAAAAAGTGATTGCCATAAACAGGATATTGATTTTTGGATCAATAATCTCAAAGCACTTTGTAAAAGGAAAACATCAAAAGGTAATTCCTGGTCTGACAATGTCTCTTTGTGCCATTTTTTCCTCTAAAAGATTGAGCAACAAGTTTTATCAAGGGGTCTGGTGAATACCACACAAGAGAGTGAGGTCTTCAACAAAACAAAAGACTAAAATAGAAATAAACTTAGTGGTGTCATAGACAATAAGAAAACTAAGCACATTTTCCCCTTAACACTTTAATAATGGAAAATGTAATTCATTTCTACAGCCTCTGCATAAATTAGAACAATGCTTTGTATCTTAATGGCAAATAATTATTAATAAGAAAGAAAAAATAAACAAAATACCCAAAATTTAGACTGTCTTCTAATTTTCTAGTCTTTTCTATCACGGAGATTTATGGGTCTCATTTTAAAGCACTGAGAATTTTTAAAGATGTCTTTCACTTATATTAGCAATGAAAAATAACCTCATCAACATGTAAACTCAGCACTACCTACCTGATGGGCTCTAATAAGCTTAGAATCCCTTGGTATTTCTACTATCTGAACATTGGTAACATTAAAAAACATAAAGCATTTCACATATCAGATATAAATTAACAGGATAAATTTAAGTGTCAACAAGTTGCTATTACATTTATAAAAGCTTTCTGAAAATATTACTTTAGTTGACACTGATTCAAGAGATTCAGATAGATTTTTCCAGGGGTAGAAAACATCAAGACTTCTCTCTGCATTTCCAGAAGCAGAAACATACCTTCTTATTCATCTTGTCAGCATTTAGAAAAACACAAAAAGGGAGATGTAAAATATGTAGTATAAATTGGGAAATACTCCAAGGGTTTACAGGTTTTTCCTAGCTATATGTAGACATGTTTGCTCAATCTTACCTTTGCAGCATCTAAGAACTGTCCTGAATTGCCTTTTCCCAATCTCTGCCATGTGATACTTTTTAATGACTCTGGAATCTGCTGACAAGGAAAAAAAGTAGGGGGAAGTTTCAGAGTGGACACTTAATATTCAAAGATTATTTCCTTTGTTCATAAACATACAGAAAATTAAAACCATAGCCATATTGGAGAGATGATTATGCTTTTAACGTATGCCTAAAAAGACAAAAAATAGGCCGGGCCTGGTGGCTCACGCCTATAATCCTGGCACTTTGGGAGGCTAAGGCGGGCGGATCACGAGGTCTGGAGATCGAGACCATCCTGGCCAACATGGTGAAACCCCGTCTCTACCAAAAATATAAAAATTAGCTGGGCGTGGTGGCGTGCGCCTGTAGTCCCAGTTACTCAGGAGGTTGAAGCAGGAGAATCGCTTCAACCCAGGAGGTGGAGGCTGCAGTGAGCCGAGATCACGCCACTGCACTCCAGCCTGGCAACAGAGCGAGACTCTGTCTCAAAAAAAAAAAAAAAAAAAAAAAAAAAAAAAAATGACAAAAATAAAATTTGTGGTCCGGGTATGAAGTAAATTGTATTACCCATTATAAATGTCAAATTGTACTTTCTTTTCATCCCCTTTCTTTCTGGTTTCTGTCTCTTTTCTTTTTTTTTTTTTTTTTTTTTTTTTTTTGGTCTTTGCTTCTTAAATCCCCTAAAGTCTTCAACCCAATTTCTTTCTTAAATGGCTTTTATGCTCTTTTCAAATACTCCTCTTTTGTTCTCTCTTTACTGTATTTTATTATGCTCCACATCTTGTTTCTGTGCCTTCTTTCGTCTTAATCGGAATGCTAAATTTATATACTGGTCACAAGATCAGTTTTGACAAACGATTCTATGTAACCAGATGACGGACTCTGTAAGCCAAAAGTAAAATGCTACTAAGTCCCCCAACCAACTGAATGGCCCCCCTCCTGGCCAAGGGGACCCCAAAGAAACCTGGAAGTCTAGTTCAGGCCATGATGCTGGTTGTGTGTGTGTTGGGGGGGGGGGCACGGGGCAGAATTAGACATGCCTTAATATACCCTCTTCCCTTTGGAGTTCAGAAACAACTGACCAGCATTAACATTAAAACAGCGATCTTAAGAGTGACAAAGCAGAATTTGTGGCAATGACATGCCAAATTCCAACCTGACTGCTATAGTATCATATGACAGATTAACAGGCCCTGAAGGAAATCAAAGTATTTTATCCCAAAATATATTTCTTTGACATATTCTGAAATGGCCCTATAAATCTGTCTCTTGTGGGGGAAATTTGCATTCTGTAGAGAATCTCCTTCCCTTATTAAGTCTTTTCTGGAAAGCCTGACACCTTTTAAGGTCTGATAAGAGACATTCACCATCTTTATCTCTGAAGCTTGCGACCTGAAAGCTTCATCTACATGAGAAGAACCTTGGATTCCACAAGCCCCTGTTCAAACTCAAGCATTTCTTTAAGCTGAATTCAACTCTTCAGGCAGGGCTTAACTCTTTCAACCTATGACCTGGAAGTCGCACCACCCCAAGCCCCCCGCCCCCATTGTATAAACACAAGCTATAACCAAACCAACTTGGACACATGTTCTCAGGACCTCCTGAGGTTGTGTCATGTGCCATGGTCCTTAACCTTAGCAAAATAAACCTGTAAATTGAGACCTGTCTCAGATACTCTTTAGTTTGCAACTCCAATCAAAGTTTCCTTGAGGCCACTTTACCCTTGGTAACGTTTCAAAAGTGGAGCTGAAAGAAGGCAGAATAAAGACTCTCTCCATGTGAAATACCACACAGACATCTGCAAAATGGACACACACCTTTTTGAAATCTACCAACAATTTAGTGAGGAAAAAATTTGCTTCTCGGGTCAAGTGTCTCCCAAAGTATCAGAGGCATTTGAACCAGAGCAACTCCATCTTGAGTAGGGGCTTAGTAAAATAAGGCTGAGACGTGCTGGGCTACATTTCCAGGTGGTTAAGGCATTCTAAGTCACAGGATGAGCTACGAGGTCGGCACAAAATACAGGTCATAAAGACCTGGCTGGTAAAACAGGTTGTGTAGTAAAGAAGCTGGCTAAAACCCACCAAAAACCAAGATAGCGACAAGAGTAATCTTGGGTCATCCTCACTAGTACACTCCCACCAGCACCATGACAGTTTACAAATACCATGGCGACATCAGGAAGTTACCCTATATGGTCTAAAAAGGGGAGGCAAGAATAATCCACCTTGATTATGTGCTTGCTTAGCACATAATCAAGAAATAACCATAAAAATCTGCTCTGCCTACAGAATAGCCATTCTTTTATTCCTTTACTTTCTTAATAAACTTGCTTTCCCTTTTCTCTAAGGACTTGCCCTGAATTCTTTCTTGCATGAGATCCAAGAACCCTCTCTTGGGGTCTGGATCAGGACCCCTTTCCAGTAACATCTTTCTGGCAACCACATAAGAGACAATACTGAGGAAACCCTCGACCTAAAGGCTAACTTTGGGTAAGTGGTGAGGTCCAGTAGTATCTTTCTGGAGACCACCGAAGGGACTATACTAAAGAAACCCGACCCAAAGGAAAATCACCTGCGCACACCAATTGACTGACTTTGGGTAGGTCGGGTGCATATACGCAGGTAAAGAATGGGATTGGTTAGAGGCCCAACTTAGGAGTGTTAAGAGTTTCTCCTAAGACAGGGTTAAAGGCTCCTCTCAATAAAAAGCAAGGACACTTGAATGACCTTGGGTTCGAGGCCCAACTTAGGAAGGTTAGGGTCCTTCCTAAGATTTAGGGGGTTAGAGGCCCCTTTCAGTAAAGTCCCTCTCAGCTGAGAACAGGTTTGGCACTATGGGATGTTAACTGCTACTCTATTTGGATTAATCTGTCTTGCACTTTTTGCTGATGGCTATGGATGACAGGATTAGGCATGTACAGGACCATGGGATATGGGGACTTTTTTCCTCCCCAAAAGGGGAAACTTGAGAGCTGATGGGACTGCTGGAAAAAATCCCTTTGCTACTGGCAAGTGGCCACCTGAACTCTTCAGTGTCGCTGCAATGGGTGGGTCTTTCTCTGGCCTCCCTGAGCTCTTTGCCTTCCCCTCCCAATGGAGGCAATACTTTTCTCCCTTTCCTTTCCTTTCTCTCTCTGTGTGAACTGGTTGAATGAATGGTAAAAATCACTGTTTAGCTCCTCTGTAAAATTCTGATTAATTGGAAAAAGGATTTGTGAAGCTAGTCTTAAGCTGTAGTGAATCTGTTATACTTTGTGCTATGAATTTGTCTTTCTGTATCATTCTGTCCTAAAGAGGAGTACCTTAAGATAGAACATGGGCTTAGGATCCCATAAGCCTACTGTTCAAGACAGCCCAGCAAACTGGTCAGTCACGTCCTTGGAAGCTTGACCTTGTAACCACGTGGCAGTGCTTTCTTTTGGTCTCTGCCATCACAATGGCAGCCTGGGTGCAGGACTCAATTTCTGGCTTAGGGAATGACCACTTTCTGGTTTGTTAACTGTGTGCCTTTCTTGAATTTTTCCTTTCTCTGAGCACCTGTGAAGTTACTTTTGGTAAAGTTTAAAAGCCAGAAATATCAGCCGGCTAAAGTCTGATAATAAGAAATTTAAAAGGCCTTTTTTTTTTTTTTAAAGAGCACTGTGGTTAAAAGTCAGCTTAATTAAAAGCAGATATTCCAGTTCTAACAGCCTGGGACTCCTTAGGAAAAAAGAGGAAGTGCCACAGATCCCGTTTTGGAATAAACCTCTGTTTTACTCATGAAACTTCAGGACTAAGAAGTAGATAAGATTCCTCTCAAAATCTAAGGCTCTGTTCCATTTTGCATTCCATTATCTGATATTTTTTACTTTTGGGGGGGTGACAGAAATTAATTTGCATTATGAGAGAACTTTGGTGTGTAATAACTATATAGGAAATATACTTTTGAGGACAGCTAATGGCAGTTATGGGGAAATACTCAGCTCTGCTCTGCAGGTTTGGATCAGAGAAGCATGCTCTTAGCCACCTAGGAAGTATGGAGATGTCCCCATCCCCCACTGAGAGATAACACTCCCATGGGGATGAGCTGATTCCCTCTTTTTGGGATCCAGGATCTGGTATAAAATGGGACCCTTAATTTCTGGAGATCTGTTTTGCCTTCCAGCTGTGCCTGCTTATTATGCCCTAGAAACTAGGCTTTAAAGAGAAACTTAAAAACTGGCGAATGAAGAACCTTACAGCTACAGGATCTTCTGTCTGCGTATTTATATTTGTTGTGTGTATGATGCTTATATCTAAAAGAGCTTTGATTAATTGGTTTAATAATAACAAAAGTTTAGATCAAACATTTTGTCAGAAAAGTAAAAAGTGTAATGACTTAGTTCACATGACTTAAGTAATCTTTGGGAAATAGAAACAGTTTTACATGCAAGGTGTGCAAAGATAGTGAAATGAGTTTTTGGTAAAAGATTACAAGAAGGCATGGAAATAAGGATTTTTCTGCCTAGATTAAAGGGTTAAAGGATTGTTTTAAGTTAGGATAAAGCTGAAAGTCTGAGCAAGTTGTGGAAGGTTTGTGAAAAATTAATCCTGTAAAAAAAATTATGTGTGTGACATACTGGCTAAAGTTAAAGGGGGTATTATTCGGTTTTTCCGTAAGTTGAACACTGGAATAAAAGTACAACAGGTTTTTCTTAGAGCACTTATCTACTGTTTAACAAAAATTTTTGTAAAGGGTTATAAAAGGTTTATGAGAATCTTACCTTATGGTCAAACATTAAAATTGGGTAGATACGTCTATAAGGTTTTGTTAGGAATTGGGTTTGACATCAATAATGCACAAATGCAATGGTGAAATTTGGCTCATTTAGTATAAAAATCATACAGGAAGCACTGTCAAATATGAAATGGTATTTGGCTTTCTTTGGGCTGTATTTATATAAATATGTTACTGATCTCTGTTCCAAAATTATGTAAAACTCCTATAAGCCTGCTATAACTTCGTGTATGTTATTAATAGTTACAATTATTATGTACAATTGTATGCCACAGAAGTAACCAAAATTTCCTTGAATAGTGGCTGTCCTAAGACTTTTTAATATCCACAGACAATTGTTGTCTTGTTCTGATCCTCTTCAAAAGGTGGTTTATAGTCAGCTATATGACTTTGACAGGTGTTCTTAAATGCAGGTGTCTGATAACTTTGCAGATTTATGAAATTAGAATAGAGAAAAAAACTTTTAGGACTCTCATGGAAAGCTAAAATGTTTATGAATATCAAACAGAATAGGAGTGAATTGAATGTACTGAACTAATACAAGACTGAAGTAATCTTTTTTACTTTGCTTAAAATGCTGCTGATCCTTTGTTTTATTTTTCAGAGTCCAGAAAACTTTTAAGCTATTTACAGCTTGTAGCAATTGAGCAAAATATACTCCTGTAAACAAAATTTGGAGCATATATGTTTCTCTCTACCTGATTTTTCCAAAATTTGGAAACTACTTGTGAGTATTCTTAATTTATGGAAATATAGTAATTTGCATAAGTGCAATAAGAAACTGTTTTCTTGGCTGGGCATGGTGGCTCACGCCTGTAATCCCAGCACTTTGGGGGGTCAAGGTGGGTGGATCACTTGAGGTCAGGAGTTTGAGACCAGCCTGGCTAATGGTAAAACCCTGTCTCTACTAAAAATACAATAATTAGCCGGGTGTGGTGGTGGGTGCCTGTAATCCGAGCTACTTGGGAGGCTGAGGCAGGAGAATCACTTGAACCTGGGAGGTGGAGGTTGCCAAGATCATGCCACTGCACTCCAGCCTGGGCAACAGAGTGAGACTTCATCTCAAAAATAAATAAATAAATAAATAAAAATAAACTGTTTTATTTTGCAACAGGACACAATTGGAGAAACTGGTTATTTTACCAAGGCTTTGACTGGAATGGCATGCTTTCCTTTAAGGAATGTAACTTGACTTACAGAGTCAATAAAAGCCCCCTGGGAAAACTGGCCTCATACCTTGTCTACACACTTCCTGTGCAGGGTTCCTAACCTATGGTAAGTAAAGAATGTTGCTTTCTGACAGGCCCAGGAGCCCCAGATTATCCTGGGACCTCAAGAGGAAAGGAATTTAAACAACTGATAGGCATTTGAGGGTACAAACCCATGACTGGGTTTGGCTTTAAAAAAGTCTTCTCTAAGATTCCTTATGAAGCACAGTTCCATCAAAGCCAATTTAAAAAGCCTATGTAGGCTGGGCATGGTGGCTCACACCTGTAATCCCAGCACTTTGGGAGGCTGAGGCGGGCGGATCACTTGGGGTCAGGAGTTTGAGACCAGCCTGGCCAACATGACGAAACCCCGTCTCTAATAAAAATACAAAAATTAGCCAGGTATGGTGGCATGTGCCTGTAATCCCAGCTACTCTGGTGGCTGAGGCAGGAGAATCACTTTAACCCAGGAGGCGGAGGTTGCAATGAGCCAAGATCGTGCCACTGCACTGCAGCCTAGGCGACAGAGCGAGACTCTGTCTCAAAAAAAAAAAAAAAAGTCTATGTAAAAAAAAAAATTATTCTTGTTGGACATTATACAAATAATCAGGCCAAGCATAATAAAGCAAATCAGTCTTACCATGATTTATCTTTAGTAAAAATCGGAGACTGGAGAGAAAAAAAAGTATGTTTCAAGAACTATGGTATACTTGTTGTTATATTCTAGTCTCAACAGTTGTTTTAGAGTGTTTTCTGCAATTTAGACTGACTGCTTGTTCCTGTGAGCCTGCTTGTTCCTGTGATCTCTGGCTGCTGCTCAGAAGAAACAAGAGGGATGGGTAATACAAAAATCAAGATCAGTATTCTATTCTGGACACACCAGAATCAGCTAGCAACCCCACATCAACTTGGTTCCAAGAGTTGCACAGTTCATTGAAAGCCTTCTAATTTAGTTTACTTGGGATAATTTTGCTTATTTTGCTTTACTGTTGTGGAATATATTGTTGTACTCTTTGTGCAGGAATGCAGAATAAGTTTACTCAATCTTAAATTAAACACTTATTAACCTTCCAGATATCGCCTTTTGTCAAAACTCAAGAGTTATGAATGGCCCTCAACACATTGATGCTTTCTGACTGAGCTCCTCTCTACCCTGAATACAAGAGACCCTCACAGTTAGGCAGGAAGATCATCATCCCTATTCAGCCTGAAGAAATTGCATCAGATGGATCTTCATCCTTCTGCAACCCTTAGGATTAAGGGTTCTCTTATAAAAGGGAGGGGTGAAATGTCAGAGGCATTTGAACCAGAGCAACTCCATCTTGAGCAGGGGCTTGGTAAAATAAGGCAGAGACCTGCTGGGCTAAATTCCCAGACAGTTAAGGTATTCTAAGTCACAGGATAAGATAAGAGGTCAGCACAAGATATAGGTCATAAAGACATAGATGATAAAACAGATTGCAGTAAAGAAGCCAGCTAAAATCCACCAAAACCAATATGGCGACAAGAGTAACCTCTGGTCACCCTCACTGCTACACACCCACCAGCGCCATGACAGTTTACAAATGCTATGGCAACATCGGGAAGTTACCCTATGTGGTCTAAAAAGGGGAGGTGTGAATAATCCATCTCTTGTTTAGCATATAATCAAGAAATAACCATAAAAATGGGCGAGCAGCAGCTCATGCTGCTGCCCCGCCTATGGAATAGCCATTCTGCAATGCTGCAATGAACATGGGCATGCAGACATCTCTTTGATATGCTGATTTCATTTCCCTTGTGCCTATAAATAGAAGAGGAATTTCTGGATCATGTAATATTTCTATTTTTAATATTTTGAAGAATCTCTACACTTTTCCAAAATGGTTTTCTCAATGTAGAGTCCCACCAACAGTGTACAAGGGTTTCCTTTTCACCACATCCTCACCAACACTTGTTATCTCTTATCTTTTTGGCAATAGCTATCCTAACAGATATGAAGTGATATTTCATTGTGATTTTGATTTGCATTTCCCTGGTCATTAGTGATGTTGACCACCTTTTCATACCTATTGACAATTTGTATGTCTTCTTTGAAAAGTGTCTATTCAAGTCCTTTGCCCATTTTAAAATTGGGGTGTGTGTGTGTGTGTGTGTGTGTGTGTGTGTGTAAGTTGTGTGAGTTCCTTCTGTATTTTGGATATTAACCCCTTATCAGATATGTGATTTGCAAATATTTTCTCCCATTCCATGGGTTGCTTTATAGTTTTGATGACTGTTTCCTTTGCTGTACAAAAGCTTTTCAGTTTGATTTAGACCTACTTGTTTATTTTTGCTTCCACTGACTTGAGCTTTTGGTGTCATATCCAAAAAATCATTGCCAAGGGTAATGTCAAGGAGCCTTTCCCTATGTTTTCTTCTAGGAGTTTTGAGGGTTTAAGGCTTATGTGTAAGCCTCTTATCCATTTTGAGGGGTTCTTTTGTATGAATAAGATAATGGTCCAGTTTCATTCTTTTGCATGTGGATATCCTGTTTTCCCAACATGATTTATTGAAAAGACTATCTTTTCCACATTTTGTACTTTTGGCACCCTTGTAGAAGTTTAGTTGAATGTATATGGATGGGTTTATTTCTGGGCTCTATATTCTGTTCCATTGGTCTATGTGTCTGTTTTTATGCCAGTACCATACTGTTTTGATTAATACAGCTTTGTAATTTGAAATTAGGAACTGTGATGCCTCCAACTTTGTTCCTCTCTCTCAAGATTGCTTTGGCTATTTGGGGTCGATTGTTCCATGTTAATGTTATGACTTTTTTCTATTGCTGTGAAAAATGCTGTTGAAATTTTTATAGGGATTGTGTTGGGTAGTGTGGAAATTTTTATAATATTAAAATATCTTTCCATAAATCCAAAGATATTAAAATCTTTCCATTTATTTGTGTCCTCTTCAATTTTTTTCATCAGTGCTTCATAGTTTTGAGTATATAGATCTTTCACCTCCTTGGTTAAATTTATTCCTAAGTATTTTATTCTTTTTGATGCTATGGTAAATGAGATTGTTTTCTTGAGCTCGCTTTTCCAGACAGTAAATATTTTAGGGTTTACAGGCATATCGTTTCTGTCACAACAATTCAACTCTGTCATTGTAGCATGAAAGCAACCATACATGATAAGCAAGTGAACAAGTGTGGCTGTGCTCCAATAAAACTTTATGTATGAACAATGAAATCTGAATTTCATGTAATTGTCATCTATCACAAAATATTCTTCTTGATTGTTTTTCCAACCATTAAAAAATGTTTTCAAGTATTCTTAGCACAGGAGCCTTGCAAAAATAGGTGGCATGCTGGATTTGGCCCAAGAGCCATTGATTGCTGACCCCTGCTCTAAATAATTTCTAACACCCCTCAACCTCCAAGGATTTTGAGAATGACAGAGTAAAACAAAAGAAAGTACAACGACCAAAAAATCTCCACCAGCACCACCACAAAAAAGCAACACACAAACAAAAAATATGTATGGGATTCCCCTCTACCTCTAATAGTTTTTCCTTTATCTACCAAATGTTCACATCTCTGGGTACGTAACACCAACAGCAAGGCCTATTTAAAAGACAGAAGAAAAGGTCCTGACAAAAGTTTTTTTATGTTTGTTTAAGCAACTTCTATGAAGTTTCATTGTTCCCATTCAAATAGGTTCATTTATCATAACATTTTTGTCATCAAGAAAATTGCACACTGCTTCATAAGTTTTAGCTAAGTGATGTGAGATTCCAAGCTGCTTGCTACTAAGAGTAACAAAGAATTGCAAAGCATTTGCCAAAATCAGGGCAATTAAAACCAATGGCTGAATATTAAAAGTTAAGAAAAAACTCCAGAACCAATTCCTTTTAAATCATGAAATTTGGGGACGAATGTACAAAGAGGAATTTCTTTATCATATTAAGAGTGAATATACCAAAGACACATTTTAGACACAATAATTTCATTGAGCTGGCTTATTAGAACCCAAGATCTTTAGAAAATTGGTACGAATCTCTGAGTACTTCTAATATTCCTAACCCTATTGTGTTTGTGGACAGAATGGAGAAATTATCACACATTCCACACAACAGCTGGAATGATGAGATAATGTAATAAAAGAAGTTGAGAAAGTAGAATTGGAATATTTTCTGCTTCTTTACAGTTTCAACTTTCAGTAATTTAATACCGAAATTGCTTGCTCTTATATTTACTAATGGGGACTTGGAAGAGAACCCTCAAGCACATTTCTTAACTTTCGATTCCATAGCTGGACAATTTCATTATGTTTTTCTATAATGCTCCTTTACGTTTGTTACTTTTTATGCATGTGTCAGATTGCCACTGGTGATTAAATTACCTCGAAAATTATTTGAAACTCATATAAGATAGCATTTTCATTTACTTGGACCATTCTGTATGGCTCAATATGCAGGTCATATCCCAAACCCCCTGGTTTTCTTTATAAGCATTCCAGCAAAGTCTGATACAAGCCGTCCATAAGTAGGATATATCAGACATAATCTGCTTATAACAGAAAGTGTAGGCTAAGAGAACATTGATATAACACAAACCCAACTCTAGGGCTGACAAATGATATCTAATGAATTCCTGCTTAACAAACTAGATAGAAAAGGTACTTTGAAAAAGGTATTTGGCTTTGTAAATTTTAAATTCCTTTTGGCCTATCTATATCTAGTCTCTTTCTAGCATGCTAAAAGCTAATTTCTACTTCAGAGGTAGGGAAACACAGTTATTTGGGACAATTTCTGATAGCAATCTACTGCTCCCCTCAGCATGGATGTCTTCTCTTTATCTCCTTGCTACTCCATTTTTGTGTCTCCCTTTTCAGGTGTTCACTGATTTCTTTTTGTTCTGCCTGTTTTTAAATTCTTAGTTTAATACTGCTACGGGCACTCAAGCCTGAGGTTTCTAATTCCTATTCCATTATCTCCCCGTGGTCTTACTAAACAGAGGCATGATACAGAATCCAACTGTGTATTTCTGATAATGCTGCTTTTGCCCAAACCAATTGAATTAGCTCCTCAAATGAAAAAAAGGGACTTTTTCAAAAAATATGGTAAAGCCACTCTACCCAATCCCCCCCCAAAAAGATACACACACAAAAAATGCCTTAATTTTGCTCCCTCTCATTTTTCTTCAGGTCTACATGAGCCCTGAAAACCTGTCAGTTTTTTTTCTAAAAGTACCCACTTTTCTTTTCAACTACACTTAAAAAATTCCATGAGGTGACTAAAATTCATACAATAGCTAGAATACTTGTTTTCACAAAATGCCAGAAAGAAAACTGACAGCTCTGCTAGAAGCATTTTAAGAGCTAACTTTTTTTTAAAGCTGGCTGGCTTGAAAAGAAGCACCTAGATCCTTCAAGTCAGTCTAGAACATTTCAAGGGTAAATAAACTTTAAATTATCCCACCAAACTTTTCAAAATGCACTCACTGCTGCCATACAAAAAGGATTGTATCTTCCATGTTGTACACAACAAAATTTTAAATACAAGATCCTTATGCTATAGTTTACACTCTAAAACTGACAGATGCAGGCATAAGTTTTGGCTGCTTGAAATAAGTAAGTTCTTTGAAACAAATGAGAACAATGACACAACGTACCAGAATTGCTGGGACACAGCTAAAGCAGTGTTTAGAGTGAAATTTATAGCACTAAATGCCCACATGAGAAAGCGGGAAAGATCTAAAATCAACACCCTAACATGACAATTAAAAGAACTAAAGAAGCAAGAGCAAACAAATTCAAAAGCTAGCAGAAGACAAGAAATAATTAAGATCAGAGCAGAACTGAAGGAGATAGAGACAGGAAAAATGCTTCAAAAAAAAAATCAATGAATCCAGGAGCTGGATTTTTAAAAGATTAACAAAATAGATAGATGACTAGCCACACTAATAAAGAAGAAAAGAGAGAAGAATTAAATAGACACAATAAAAAATGATAAAGGGGATATCACCACTGATTCCACAGAAATACAAACTACCATCAGAGAATACTATAAACAACTCTATGCAAATAAACCAGAAAATCTAGAAGAAATGGATAAAATCCTGGACACATGCACCCTCCCAAGACTAAACCAGGAAGAAGTTGAATCCCTGAATAGACCAATAACAAGTTCTGAAATTGAGGCAGGAATTAATAGCCTACCAACCAAAAAAAGTCCAGGACCAGACAGATTCACAGCTGAATTCTACCCGAGGTACAAAGAGGAACTGGTACCACTGCTTCTAAAACTATTCCAAACAATGGAAAAAAAGGGACTCCTCTCTAACTCATCTTATGTGGTTGGCAATATCCTGATAACAAAACCTGGCAGAGACACAACAAAAAAAGAAAATTTCAGGCCAATATCCCTGATGAACAAGGATGCGAAAATCCTCCATAAAATACTGGCAAACTGAATCCAGCAGCACATTAAAAAACTTATCCACCACAATCAAGTTGGCTTCACCCCTGGGATGCAAGGCTGGTTCAATATACGCAAATCAGTAAATGTAATCCATCACACAAACAGAACCAATGAAAAAAACCACATGATTATCTCAATAGATGCAGAAAACACCTTCGATAAAATTCAACACCCCTTCATGCCAAAAGCTCTCAATAAACTAGGTATTGATGGAACGCATCTCAAAATAATAAGAACTATTTATGACAAACCCACAGCCAATATCATACTAAATGGGCAAAAACTGGAAGCATTCCCTTTGAAAACTGGCACAAGGACATGGATGCCCTCTTTCACCACTCCTATTCAACATAGTATTGCAAGTTCTGGCCAGGGCAATCAGGCAAGAGAAAGAAACAAAGGGTATTCAAATAGGAAGAGAGGTAGTCAAATTGTCTCTGTTTGCAAATGACATGACTGTATCTTTAGAAAACCCCATGGTCTCAGCCCAAAAACTCCTTAAGCTGATAAGCAACTTCAGCAAAGTCACAGGATACAAAATGGAAGTGCAAAAATCACAACCATTCCTGTGCAATCATTCAATGTGCAAAAATCACAAGCATTCTTATACACCAATAACAGACAAACAGAGAGCGAAATCATGAGTGAACTCCCATTCACAATTGCTACAAAGGGAATAAAATACCTAGGAATACAACTTACAAGGGATGTGAAGGACCTCTTCAAGAAGAACTACAAACCACTGCTCAAGGAAATAAGAGAGGACACAAACAAATGGAGAAATATTCCATGCTCATGGATAGGAAGAATCAATATCGTGAAAATGGCTATACTGCCCAAAGTAATTGATAGATTCAATGCTATTCCCATCAAGTTACCACTGACTTTCTTCACAGAATTCAAAAGAACTACTTTAAATTTCATATGGAACCAAAAAAGAGCCCATATAGCCAAGAGAATCCTAAAGAAAAAGAAAAAAGCTGGAGGCATCACACCACCTGACTTCAAACTATACTACAAGGCTATGGTAACCAAAACAGCATGATACTGGTACCAAAACAGATATATAGACCAATGGAACAGAACAGGGGCCTCAGAAGTAACACCACACATCTACAACCATCTGATCTTTGACAAACCTGACAAAAACAAGCAATAGGGAAAGGATTCCCTATTTAACAAATGGTGTTGGAAAAACTGGCTAGCCATAAGCAGAAAACTGAAACTGGACCACCTCCTTACACCTTATACAAAAATTAACTCAAAATGGATTAAAGACTTAAACATAAGACCTAAAACCATGAAATCCCTACAAGAAAACCTAGGCAATACCATTCAGGACATAGGCATGGGCAAAGACTTCATGACTAAAACACCAAAAGCAAAGGCAACAAAAGCCAAAATTGACAAATGGGATCTAATTAAACTAAAGAGCTTCTACACTGCAAAATAAACTATCAGTGAACAGGCAACCTAAAGAACAGAAGAAAATTTTTGCAATCTATCCATCTGACAAAGGGCTAATATCCAGAATCTACAAGGAACTTAATCAAATTTACAAGAAAAAAACCAAATAACCCCATCAAAAAGTGAGCGAAGGATATGAAAAGACACTTTTCAAACGAAGACATTTATGCAGCCAATAAACATCTGAAAAAAAGCTCATCATCACTGCTCATTAGAGAAATGCAAATCAAAACCACAATGAGATACCATCCCACGCCAGTTAGAATGGCGATCATTAAAAAGTCAGGAAAGAACAGATGCTGGAGAGGATGTAGAGAAACTGGAATGCTTTTACACTGTTGGTGGGAGTGTAAATTAGTTCAACCATTGTGGAAGATAGTGTGGCAATTCCTCAAGGATCTATAACTAGAAATACCATTTAACCCAGCAATCCCATTACTGAGTATATACCCAAAGGATTATAAATCATGCTACTATAAAGACACATGCACACGTATGTTTATTGCAGCACTATTCACAATAGCAAAGACTTGGAACCAACCCAATTGCCCACCAATGATACACTGGATAAACAAAATGTAGCACATACACACCATGGAATACTATGCAGCCACAAAAAAGGATGAGTTAATGTCCTTTGCAGGGACATGGATGAAGCTGGAAACCATCATTCTCAGCAAACTAACACAGGAACAGAAAACCAAGCACCGCATGTTCTCACCCTTAAGTGGGAGTTGAACAATGAGAACATACGGGCACGGGGAGGGGAACATCTCACACTGGGGCCCATTTGGGGTTGGGGAGCAAGGGAAGAGATAGCATTAGCAGAAATATCTAATGTAGATGACGGGTTGATGGATGCAGCAAATCACCATGGCACATGTATACCTATGTAACAAACCTGCACGTTCTGCACGTGTATCCCAGAACTTAAAGTATAATAAATATATATAATATATATATATATATTTTGACTACCTTCCCACCATCATCCACCCACAAGGAAACCCTTTCACTATTAGTTTACCCCTAAAGATGCTTAGTCCAGAACAGTATAGAGGGTTCGCTGAAGGCCAGGGTAGTTAGTATTTTACCACTTTTCGTATTTTTGTTTTGATTTTGGCTTGCTAAGGTATTTTTACATTATACAACAATGCAAATTAGTAACAGCTATCACATAATCATTTTTAGTAATGAACAACAGTGGCTACCACTCACTGAGCACTTATTATTTGGCTATTCTAATGCCCAATACTACATTATCTCATTTCATTCTCACTGCAACCCTACAAGGTAGCTAATACTATTATTATTTTCCCATTTTACAGATTAGAAACTGAGGCTTAGAGAGGCTTATTTGTTCAAGTTCATACAGCCTGTAAGTGGTGGAATGGAGATAACCCATTCCTAACACTACAGTACTGACAATATTAGCAATGTCACTGAATCTAGGGAATTTACTAATTGTCATATTACTGACTGATAACCTTGAAATGTCTAGGTTAACTTTTCTGTTGCTATTAAGGCATACAGGATTTTGTTTGTTTCTTGGTCCAAGAATCAATGTAATTCTGATTTTAAAAATACAGGAGTGATATCACCAAAAATGACAAGAGTATGGGGCTATAAAAATTCATCCCTCCACTAAGGCAACAATTTAGCTAGCAAAAACTGTCAGATCTCAATCAACTTTTCCAGAACTCTGGAATCTAATGAAAAACTAACAACAACCAGGGGAGTGTATAATGAAAAAAGAAGTTGCTAAATAAGTATCAGAAGAGAGTGTTATGACATTTGTGCTCACTCACATACCATCCTTCCATTCCCCAATGGGGATGGCAGCTTGCATTCTTGGTATAGCTTGCTGGTACCAGAGAAGGAAATATGGACTTGTTTTTGAAGAATTATGGTTATACTTTTTGACTTGTCTGGCAGCTCCCTGAAGGACTGGCTCAGGGGCTTATCTTGTACCTATCAGAACACTCTTGGGGCTGAAGTGGCTTTCCATAGGGTCCTCTGTTGAAAGCATATAAAGGCATATGCCTGGGTCAAGGGATAACAGATGGGCAAGCAACAAAAAGAGTTAAACTTAGCCTAGGAAGAAAGACCCTGGGAAAAGAGATACAAGGGAGAATCAGTACCTTGAAAAGAGAATGGAAATATTAGGTATGAAAAGTAATAATATAAATAAAGCAACACAAAAGTGTACATATTAACAACTATTTACTGAAGCAAAGGAAAAGAAAAAATCAAAATGGAGATAAAAATATTTACAAAAATAAAGAGATTCATTGTACAAAAATTAAAGATAAAATATTTCATACTGAAAGAGTCCACAGAGTGCCAAGAGAATAAGAAAAAACTACCTCCTAGACATATTGACAGTAAAATTTAAAAACATGTAAGTAAAATAATATATTCTAAATGAATCTCAAAAAAAACAAATAACTAAGAGTCACATAGACAAATGGGGACATAGAAAAAATAGAAAAGTTATTTTAAAAATTACAAATAACATGAAGTAAAAAGAAATCAGATGGACATCAGACTTCTTAAGAGTAATACTAGATGCAAAAAGAAAATGGAGTAGGATTTTCAAAGCATTGAAAGGAAAGAATGTTGAGCCTAGAGTTTTATATCCAACTTAATTGTGTTTCAAACATGATGGCATTCTTGGCACAGGTTTACATGGGTCTGTTCGGTTTGTAAAAAAATCATCAAGCTGTATACTTATATGTGCATTTCCTGCATATATACTTTAATAAATGGTTTAAAAAGCATATGATGGGGGAGATGGCAGGGCAGTGGACGTATATATAATTTTTTTAACTTCCCAAATTCTCACACTAACAACAGAATAACCAACAACAGAACCCGTGAACAACATTTACAACAAAATTAGGCTGAAACAAATCCCCTTCAGTCTCAAAGTGCAAACACATAGAAAGACTACACACAGACCGCCATTTTTGCTGCTGCTACAGCTCCCACCCCAATGCCCTCAAGCTCAGGAGAGAGCAAAGAGCTTAAGGACTATTATGAACCTCCAGCATAGCATAGCTGCCTTATGTAAAAGTGGCCAGTCTGTTCTCCACACAGGTCCCTGCCCCTACTACTCCTCACTGGGTAGGGCCCTCTGACCTGGGCCCACAGCACAACCACCCTGACACCACCTGAGCAGCTCTGCATCTCTCTGAGGAAGAAATCCCAGAGTCAACCCATATCCCTTCTGCCATTACAGCTACAGTAGTACCACCCTTACTGCTTTTGAGCTGGAGAAGGAAAAAAGAGCCTGGTCACTTCACTGATACCTCCGTGACACTGCAGCCACCATACAGAGGAGCCCAATTTCTCTTACCTGTGAGTCCCCACCCCTCCTCTTCACCAGGCAGGGCCCCGGGCTTGGGGCTGCGCGTAGCTTCCCCACACTTGGCTGAACATTCCCATTGTTAGTGGCTCTGTGTTTCTCTGGGGTGGAGTTTATCAGTGGCCACTGACAGCCCCTCAGCCTCTGCCACTGCTACTACAGTACTACCGGCCTTGCTGCCCTCGGACTGGGGAAGGAACAAAGATCCTGAGTGCTTCACTCACACATCCAGCATGCCACAGCTCTCCTATGAAGAAGAGGCCACAATGACTTCTCTGTGAGCCTCTGACCTCCTCTGCCCAGCACCAGGCAGGGAACTCTGGCTTGGGCCCGCAACACAGCCACTCCACATTAGGCTGATCGTTCTGACTGACAGCAGCTCTGCATTTGCCTGGGGCAGAGCCCCAAGGAACAAGCGAAAGGCCCTCTGCCATTGTCACTGCCAAGGTCGCCAACCCTGTTGACTCCAGCTGAAGAGGGAACAAAAAGCCTGAGCTCACCCCAGACTTGTGGAGCACAGCTCAGGAGTGCCAAACCAAGATCTACAGCCAGCACTCCAGTGGGAGAGGAGCCCACACTCTCAAAGCACTGAGAGGGAGCATGGCTGTAAATGCAAGGAAATACAGAGGAACTGCACAGCTGAGCAAAAGCCTACCTACCAGCCATTATACTTTAAGTATCATCTGGATTAAAGTCCAAACTTCAACACCAAAAATACCTTGCTAAAATACTCTGCTATGAAACCAAGAACAAGAATTCAGCCACGAATAAAGACCCTGCGGCAAGCCTCAGCCCTTTGAAAACGTCCAGAAACAAAGTCAATTACACCACAGTTAAAGGAACATCAGCCCACACAGATGAGAAAGAACCAGCACAACAACTCTGGCAACTCTAAAGGCCAGAGTTATCTCCTTACCTCCTAACTACCACACTAGCTCCCTAGCAATGGTTCTTAACCAGGAGGAAATGGCTGAAATTACAGACATAGAATTCAGAATTGGGACCACGATGAAGATCACCTAGATTCAGGAAAACGTTGAAACCCATTCTGAGGAATCCCAGGTATACAATAAAATGATTTAAGAGATGAAAGACAAAATAGCCATGTTAAGAAAGAACCAAAATGAGCTAAATAGCTGAAAAATTCTCTACAAGATTTCGAAACACAAGGGGGAGTATTAACAGCAGAATGAATCAAGCTGAGGAAAGAATCTCAAAGCTCAAAAACAGGTTCTTCAAATTAACTCAGTTACACAAAAATAAGAAATAATTTTTTCATGAACAAAATCTGGGAGAAATATGGTATTAAGTAAACAGACCAAATCTATGACTAATTGACATCCCTGAAAGACAGGGAGAGAAAGCAACTTAGAAAATATATTTGAGGATACTGTATGCAAAAATCTCCCCAACCTCACGAGAGGCTGACATACAAGTTCAGGAAATTCTGCGAGAATTCCTGTCAGTGTGAGATACAGTACAAAACAACCATCCTCAAGACACATAGTCATCAGATCCCCCAAGGTCGAAATGAAATAAAACATATTAAAGCAGCTAGAGAGATGGGGCAGGTCATCTACAAAGGGAACTCCATTAGGCTAACAGTGGACATTTCAGCAGAAACCCTAAAAGCCAGAAGAGACTGTGGAACTATATTCAGCATCTTTAAAGAAAAGAAATTCTAGCCAATAATTTAATATCCAGCCAAACTAAGCTTCGTAAGCAAAGGAGAAACAAAATCCTTTTCAGACAAGCAAATGTTAAGGGAATTCATTACCACCAGGCCTGCCTTAACAAGAGGCCCTTAAAGGAGTGCTAAACACGGAAACAAAAGACCATTACCAAAAACCACAAAACACACTCAAATACATAGACCATCAACACTATAAAGCAAATACATAATCAAGCCTACATAAAAATCAGCTAACAACACGATGACAGGATCAAATATGCACCTTAATTAATATTCACCTTAAATGTAAATGAGTTAAATGCTACACTTATAAGGCAAACAGTGGCAAGTTGCATAAAGAAACAAGACCAAACTGTATGCCATCTTCAGTGGACTCATGTCACATTCAAGGACACCCACAGGCTCAAAGTAAAGGGATGGAGAAAGATGAAGTAAACAAAAAACGAAAAGAGCAGGGCTTGCCATTCTTATTTCAGACAAAACTGACTTTAAACCAACAACAATCAAAAAGGACAAAGAAGGGCATTACATAATGATAGAGGGTTCAATTCAACAAGATATAACCATCCTAAATATATATGCACCTGACACTAGAGCACCCAGATTAATAAAAGAAGTTCCTAGAGACTTACAAAGAGATGTAGATAACCACACAATAATAGTGGGATGCTTCAACACCCCACTGGCAGTATTGGGCAGACTATTGAGGCAGAATACTAACGAAGATATTCGGGACTTAACCTCGCACTTGATCAAATAGACCTAACAGCCATCTACAGAACACTCCATGCAAGAACAATAGAATATACATTCTTCTCATGTGCATATGGCACATACTCTAAAATAGACCATATGCTTTACCATAAAGCAATTCTCAACAAATTCAAAAAAGCTGAAATTGTACCAACCACACTCTCAGACCACAGAAAAATAAAAATAAAAATCAATGCTAAGAAAATCACTCAATACTATAAAAGTACATGGAAATTAAACAATCTGCTCCTGAATGACTTCTTGGTAAATAATGAAATTAAGGCAGAAATCAGGAAATTCTTTTAAACTAATGCAAATAAAGATACAACATACCAGAATCTCTGAGACACAACTAACGCAGTGTTATGATGAAAACTTAGAGTGCTAAATGCCCACATCAAAAAGTTAGAAATATCTCAAGTTAACAACCTAACATCACATCTAAAGGAACCAGAAAAACAAGAGCAAACTAACATCAATGCTAGCAGAAGAGAAATAACCAAAATCGAGCTAAACTGAATAAAATGGAGATGAGAAAACTCATACCAAAGATCAACAAAAACAAAAGATGGTTCTTCAAAAGAATAAATAAGATTGATGGACCACTATCTAGACTAATAAAGAAAAAAGGGAGAAGATCCAAATAAACACAATCAGAAATGACAAAGGGGACATTACTGTCGACCCCGCAGATATTAAAAAAAAAAAACCCTCAGAGACTATTACAGACACCTCTATGCACACGAACTAGAAAACCCAGAAGACATGGATAAATTCCTAGAAACATACAACCTCCCAAGATTGAACCAGTAAGTAATTGAAGCCCTAAACAGATAAATGAGTTCCAAAACTGACACAGTAATAAAAAGCCTACCAACCAGGAAAAGCCCTGGAACAGACAGATTCACAGCCAAATTCTACCAGATGTATAAAGAAGAGCTGGTACCAATCCCATTCAAACAATTCAAAAAATAGAAGAGGAGCAACTGGTCCCTAACACATTCTATGAGGCCAGCACCAATCTGATACCAAAACCTGGCAGAGATACAACAACAACAAAAAAGAAAACTTCAGGCCAATATCCCCGACCAACATAGATTTAAAAATCATCAATGAAATACTAGCAAACCAAATCCAGCAGCACAACAAAAAGCTAATCCACCATGACCAAGCAGGCTTTATCCCTGAGATGTAAGTTTGGTTCAACATATAAAAATCAATAAATGTGATTCATCACCAGAAACAGAACTAAAAAGAAAAACCACATGATCATCTCAATAAACACACAAAAGAATTTTGACAGAGTTCAACATCCCTTCATGTTAAAAAACCATCAACAAACTAGGCATTGAAGGAAAATATCTCAAAGTAATGAGAGCCATCTAAGACAAACCCACAGCCAACAGCATACTGAGTTGGCAAAACCTGGAAACATACCTCTTGAGAACCAGAACAAGATGAAGATGTCACTCTCACCAGTCCTACTCAACATAGTCCTGGATTTTCTAGCCAGAGCAATCAGGCAAGAGAAAAAAAAAAAGGCATCCAAATAGGAAGAGAGGAAATCAATTTATCTCTCTTCACAGATGATATGATACTATCATATCATCTAGATATCACCTAGAAAACCTCATAGTCCTTGTTCAAAGACTCCTATATGTGATAAACAATTTCAGCAAAGTTTCAGGATACAAAATCAATGTACAAAAATCAGCAGCATTTATACACACTAATGATGTCCAAGCTGAGAGTCAAATCAAGAATAGAATCCCATTCACAATAGCAACAAAAAGAATATAATGCCTAAGAATACAGCTAACTAGGGATGTGAAAGGTCTCTACAATGAGGATTTCAACACTGCTAAAAGAAATCAGAGATGGCACAAACAAATGGAAAAATATCCCATGCTCATGGATATGAAGAATCAAAATTGTTAAAATCGCCATACTGCCCAAAGCAATTTAGATTCAATGCTATTCCTATTCAAACTACCAACGTTTTTCAAAGAATCTGAAAAAAACATTCTAAAATTAATTCGGAACCAAAAAGTAGCTCAAATAGCCAAAACAATCCTAAGCAAAAGCAAAAACAGAAACAAAAACAAAACAACAACAACAACAACAAAAAAGCTGGAGGCATGGAGGCATCACAATACTTGACTTCAAACTATACTACAAGGCTATAGTAACTAAAAAAGCATGGTACTGGTATAAAAACAGACAGACTGACCATTGGAACAGGTTAGAGGACCCAGAAATAAAGCTGCACACCAACAGCCATCTGATGTTCAACAAAGCCAACAGTAACAAGCAATGGGGAAAGGATTTTCTATTCAATAAATGCTGCTGGGGTAACTGGCCAGCCATATGCAGAAGATGAAAATGGGCCCCTATCTTTAACCATTGACAAATATAAATTCAACATCAATTAAAGACTTAAACGTAAAACCCAAAACTATAAACTCTGGAAGACAACCTAGGAAATACCATCTGGATATGGGACCTGGCAAAGACTTCAGGAGGAAGACACCAAAAGCAATTTTAACAAAAACAAAAATTGACAAATGGGACCTAATTACACTAAAGAGCTGCTGTACAGCAAAAGAAACAACCAACTGAGTAAATAGACAACCTACAGAATGGGGGGTAATATTTGCAAACTATGTATCCGACAAAGGTCTAATATCCAGTATCTATAAGGAACATAAACCAACAAGCATAAACCAACCAACCCCATTAAAAATGCGCAAAGGACATGAACAGACACTTCTCAAATGAAAACAAACACATGGCTAACAAGCATATTAACGAATACTCAACATCATTTATCATTAGAGAAATGCAAATCAAACCCACAATGAGATACCATCTCATACCAGTTGGGATGGCTATTACTAAAAAGTCAAAAAATGACAGATGTTAGCAAGGTTTTGGAGAAAAAGGACCATTTATATACAGTAGGTGGGAATGTAAATTAGTTCAGCCATTGTGGAAAGCATTCTGGAGATTTCTCAAAGAACTTAAAACAGAATTACCATTCGATCCAGCAATCTCATTACTGGGTATACACCCAAAGGAATATAAATCCTTCTACCATAAAGACACATGCCTGCATATGTTTGTGGCAGCACTATTCACAATAGCAAAGATATGTAATCAACCTAGATGCCCATCAATGGTGGACTGAATAAAGAAAATGTGGTACATACACACTATGGAATACCACATAGCCATAAAAAAATGATATCATGTCCTTTGCAGCAACATGGAGCTGGAGGCCATTATCCTAAGCTAACAGACGTAAAGAGAAAACCAAATATTGCATATTCTCATTTCTAAGTGAGAGCTGAACATTGAGTACACATGGACACTCAGAAGGGAACAATAGACACCAGAGCCTATTTGAGGGTAGACAATGGGAGGAGGGAGAGCATGGAACAACTATGTATTGGGTATTATGCTAATTACCTGGGTGACAAAATTATCTTTACACTAATCCCCTATGGCATGCAGTTTATCCATGTAACAAACCTGCTCATGTATCCCTTGAACCTAAAAGTTGGAAAGAAAAAAATAAAAACATCTTCTAAATGTTTGCTTACACACACACAAAAAATGCTCAATACCATTAGTCATTAGGAGAATGCAAATCAAAACCACAATAAAACATCACTTCGCATCCACCAGTATAACTAAAATTTAAAAAGATAGATGTTAACAAGTGTTGACAAGGATGTGGAGAAATTGCAACCCTCATACACACACACACACACACACACACACACACACACGTGTTCCAACAGAAGAAAAAAAGTATGTATTATGAAGCTGTTAGGTACATATTTATGTGTGTATACACACATGCATATTTATACATATACGTATGTACACACACACATACAAAATCAAGCCTGGCAACTGTATTGTTCAATCTGTATTTAATGGGTTTTGTTTTAGTTTTGACTGCTTTAAAATTTTTTTCTTTTTAATTAACTCCCAATAAAAGCTCTTCATAAAGATTTTCCCAAACCAGATACTAATATTGGAGGGAATGAAGAAACACCTTCTATATCACTTCACAGATATTAACAAGTAACTTGACATACAGAATAGCTTTTTAACTGGGATTCCTTTTTCATACATCTTTTACAATAGTAGTTCCCAAGCCTGAATATACATCAGAATCCACCAGAAGCTTTTAAAAAATATAGACTCTTGAACATTATCCCAGACTTGCTGAACAAGAATTTTCAGGGATATGAGGCCAGGCGCAGTGGCTCACGCCTGTAATCCCAGCACTTTGGGAACAGAGGTGGGTGGATCATGAGGTCAGGAGATCAGCACCATCCTGGCCAACATGGTGAAACCCTGTCTCTTCCAAAATACAAAAAATTAGCTGGGCGTGGTGGTATGCACCTGTAGTCCCAGCTACTCGGGAGGCTGAGGCAGGGGAATCGCTTGAACCCGGGAGGCAGAGATTGCAGTGAGCCGAGATAGAGCCACTGCACGTCAGCAGGGCGACAGAACGAGACTCTGCCTCAAAAAAAAAAAAAAAAAAAGGGATCTTCAGGGATGTGATACAGGGATCTGAAACTATTTTTAAGACCTTAAGGTAATTCTGATGCAGCTAGCTCAGCACCTAATCTCAGGTTCACATTTGTGAACCACTGCTGTATACCACTGATTAATCTTCCTAAAACACTTCAAACCCTTATTCCCTCTGCTCAAAATTATCTAATAGCTCCCTAATAACTCCAAACACCCTTGGAATGGTATTTAAGTTCTATGTTGATCTGACACCAATTGACCTTTTCAGTCATATCTCTCCCATCTCTATTTCATGAACACTTTATTCGAACTGATGTATTCACTAACCTTCAAACACACTTTGCACATTTGCTGACATGAGTTATCTTGCCTAGAATGTCTTCTCCCTTCTTCTTTCTCTAATCATCTCTCAAGATGTCAGTCAAAATTTACCACCTTCCTAAATCCTTTCCACATCACTCTCTTCTCCAAGCCTGAAGTAACTCTCTCATCTGAGAGTAGTACCTGTTTACAAAACTCACTGGTCAATCATGTAATCTCTTATATGGTTCTGAACTGTTCTTGAAGTCTTCTTTATTTTTATTTAGGTTTAAACTCACATTACATTTTATTGAATTATTCTATATACTCAATGAAGGCAGGTCACATGTCTTTGGATTCTTTATATCTGCCATGCCAAACTTCATAATGCTTCTCAGAGAAATGCTCATATAAACATTGATTTAACTTAATTCCTTTCCTCCTCAAATGATTCTCATAGATGTTATCTAGGCAGATTTCTACATATAAGCTTTTAATCTGTAAGTGTATAATCATACAGGCTAGTACAAAAGTTCTGCGTATTTTAATGCATTGTGAAGATGCCCTTAGTTTATAGAAAATATAATATGGATTAGACTGTCACAATATCAACTGTACATACACATATTAGCAATCAATTTGTATAGAATGTTTAAGACACATATGACCAAAGCTACAAAACTTTACCAAAGTACATAAAAGAAAATTTAAATGGAGAAAAATACTAGATTATATAATATGATGATATTGATGCTCCCCAAATTAATAGATTTAATGAAATCCAATAGAAATCTCTACAGGATTTTTAAAGGAGATCTTGACAAAACTATTTTAATAGCTCCTCTGGAAGAATAAACTAGTGAGACAAGCCAAGAAAATTTTGGAGACGAGGAGTAATGTAAGTGTGTTGGGAAGGAGAAACTTATTCTATCAGATATTACATTATATTGTAAAATAAATGGTGTGTGAAGCTGAGTGTGGTGGTGCATGCCTGTAGTTCAACTACTGGGGAGGCTGAGGCAGGAGGATACTTTGAGTTCAGGGGTTCAAGTCCATCGTGGGCAATACAGTGAAACCCTGTTTCTAATAAAGGAAACAGTGTGGTACTGACATATGGATAGGGAAATTAATGAGATCAAGTACCAAATATTGAAACAAATCCAAATATAAAGTTACTGTTTGACAAATTCTTCATATTAAAATCAGTATGGGAAAAAAGAGATCTTTACTTAATACCATACACTAAAATAAACCATTAATGGGGTAACAATTAAATATGATAAAATTAAACCTTAAAACAATGAAAAGAAGTGATATGACCATTTATCTACTCCCAGGATAAGAATGGATTTTCCATCTGGAAGGTCTCTGCTCTCCTTTATAGACAACCAGGATAAAAGGCTAGGACAGGATTGGGAGTGAAGGTTTCCTCCCACCTTCACTTTCTGACCTTGTTCTGATATGCTCTTTAATTTAAAGGCAGGATGTGAAAAGGACATGAAAAGACACTCAGAGTCAAAAATAAAATTAGAAGAGAATACAAACCAAGACCAAATGTTTCTCTCATCCTTTTATACCACCAAATCTCTCTATTCTTCTTAATTTTACCCATGAGAGTTGTGGAATGAAGTAGAAGTTCTATCACCAGGACATAATCTCATAAGGTTAAAAACAAAGACAAAAACCCTTAACTCTCATGTCTTCGGGATGAAAGTGGAGCACATGAGAGATGAGCTAAAGTCACCTCTTGTCAATATGTTGGCATTTTTTAATTTCATTTTTCTCTAAAAAAGATATCAATTCAGCATCTTTTAATTCTAAACCAAGCTTTGGAGACAGAAAGCAGCTCAGGTTCTGGCAGCTGCTTCGCTGAGAAACTTAAAGGCCACAGCAAAGAATAGACAATAATTGGGCTCAAACTACATATTTACTGTAACGTATTTCAGCATCACAAAAATGAAAGTTGGGTTCATTGTAGAAAATTTGGAAAATATAGAGAAGATGACAGAACATAACAGTCACCCATTATCCTACCATCCAGAGATAAACAATGTTTTTATATTTGGGTGTGCTTCTTTTTAAATCGCTGTTTCTTGCTTATGTTTTTTTTTAATATAATCATTTGGCCTACTGAATTTTTTAGACTGCTTTTTACACTGAATATTAGATCATATGCATTTTCCCCATCATTAAATATTGTTGAAAAACATCAGTTCCAAGATTGGTGAACTGATGGCTGAACCATAATTTATTTAACCAATCCCAGTGTCAGATACAAAAGCTGTTTTCAACTTTGAGCACTACAAATAACACAGTAAAGAGTATCTGTATATTAACTTATAAACATTTGTGCACTTTCCTGATTGTTTCCTTAAGACAGTTTCTTAGAAGTAGAATTGTTGGGTCAAAGAGGGTGAAATTTTTTTTAAGGTTTTTGATTCATTCTGACAAACCGCCCTCCAGAAAGGGGGCTGATTTCAGGGCCAGTGCAGGGAAAATATAAGATGAACCTGGAGCATTGTGTGATGCCAGAAAGTAAAGAAATGCTTGTAAAAAGATGAGGGCATGTCCAAACGAAACAGGAGCCAACCTAAAAGGATCTCCCAATAGCCCAAACCTGGAAAAACAGAGCAACAAAATATATAATTAATGTAATGGATTTTAACTCATAGAATATAATTAACATCTGTGGGTCCATCCTGGTATAAATAAATTAATGATTAAATGAGAGAGAAGGGACATCTCTTCCTTACAGAAAAATTCCAATTAACAAATGTAGAAGGAATGAGGGAAACAGAAAAACAGACAGTTGTCCCACAGTATCTGTGGGAGACTGGTTCCAGGAACCCCTATAGATACCACAATCCACAGATACTTAAGGCCCTTATATAAAATGGTGTAGTATTTATGTATAACTTATGCACATCCTCCTGTATACCTTAAATCATCTCTATATTACTTGTAGTACCTAATACAATGTAAATGCTATATAAATAGTTGTTATACTGTATTGTTTTAGAAATAATGACAAGGGAAAAAAGTCTGTAAATATTCAGTAGATGCTACCATCATTTTTTCTCCAAATATTTTAACCTGCAGTTGATTGAATCCACAGATGCGGAACCCATGGATATGGAGGGCCAACTGTAATTAGGCAAACACCATAGTAATAATTGCAGACAAGATCCACTGATGCATGCTAAAATTAGCTACTGAAAGTTTAGAAAGAAATATGATGTTTGCATACTTTCAAAGAATCTCCCCCCAAGGTGTTTTTAAATTAGCCTTTCCCCATTCATCCACCAGTCCAACATCTACCCACAAGACTTCAATATTCATCTATAAATTGTTCACCTGCAAAGTATTTCTTGACCTCCTTGGACTGAAGGTGGTTCCCCATCTCCGGGCTCATATAAAATCCTGCACGTCGCTCTACAAAAGCATTTACCACACCTTAAAGTATTGGTTTGCCTACCTGTTTTCTCCTTCAAACTGTGAATTCCTGGAGGGCAAGGCTGTTTCTTATTCACGGCTATAGCCCCGGTGCCTAGTAGAATGTCTGCCAAATGGCGGGTGCCCAATAAGTGTTTGTTAAAAGACTGGTAGCATGTTCTTTTTGTAAACATAGAGCTGTATTAGGTGGTGATAAACTCTAGAAACAGAATACAGTTTGATTTTACTGTTTTTACATATATGACCATACTCTAAGCTAGTAACATTTAAGAATTTGTTTCAAAGAGTTTTACAATAGGTTTATTTAAATAGATTTACTCTATTTATCAAAGCAATGGATTATGGAAGCACAAAGGGCTCTGTTTCCTTTTTAAAACTGAATGCTTTTAACAGCACCCAAATCACCTCTTGAATGCTTTGCTGCTTAGAAATTTCTTCTGCTAGATGCCCTAAATCATCTCTCTCAAGTTCAAAGATCCACGATTCTCTAGGGCAGGGGCAAAATGCCACCAGTCTCTTTGCTAAAACATACCAAGAGTCATCTCTGCTCCAGTCCCCAATAAGTTCCTCATTTCCGTCTGAGATCACCTCAGCCTGCATTTCATTGTCCATTATCATTATCAGCATTTTGGTCAAAGTCATTCAACAAGTCTCGAGGGAGTTCCAAACCTTCCCACATTTTCCTGTCTTCTTCTGAGCCCTCCAAACTGTTCCAACCTCTGCCTGGTACCCAGTGCCAAAGTCACTTCCAAATTTTCAGTTATCTTTTCAGCAGTGCCCCACTCTACCAGTACCAATTTACTGTATTAGTCCATTTTCACACTGCTGATAAAGACATACCCGAGACTGGGAAGAAAAAGAGGTTTAATGGACTTACAGTTCTATATGGTGGAGGAGGCTTCACAATCATGGCAGAAGGCAAGGAGGAGCAAGACACGTCTCACATTGATGATGGTAGGCAAAGAGAGCTTGTGTAGGGATACTCTCCCTTATAAAACCATCAGATCTCGTAAGACTTATTCACTATCACGAGAACAGCACAAAAAAAGACTTGTCCCCAAAATTCAATCACCTCCCACAACATGTGGGAATTGTGGGAGTTATAATTCAAGATGAGATTTAGGTGGGGACACAGCCAAACCATATCAGATGGGTAAGAAAATTTTTATTCAAATACCCATTTATAGTCTAAAAACACTGAGACTGAGATAAAATAACTAAGATAAGGTAACACTCTCCTGCTTCAAAGCCCTGTCTTCTTTCCATGATACAAGAATACTTGGTGACAAATCTTGACAATGCTACCTCATGACAGGCAATGCAGGCACTTATCACTTCTCTCCTATATTACTTCAATATTCTCTTAATTAATGTCCCTATCTCCAATCCTTGCCTATTTCTAATCTTTCCCTCAAACTGCACCCAGAATCACAGCCCTAAAACAAATTTGATAATGTCACTCCCTACTTAAAATTACTTTCTAGAATGGCCATGTACAAGAAAACTTTCAGTGATGACAGAAATATTCTGTGTGGTGAAATATAATAGCTACTTAGCCACATGTGGCTATTGAGCACTTGAATTATGTCTAGTATGACTAAGTTACTAAATCTTTAATTTAATTTTAATTGCAATTTAAATAGCTACATATGGCTAGTATCTACTATATTAGAGAGTAAAGCTCTAATCAATAGGGAGCCTTTTTTCTAATCCTGGTGAAAACCACTAAATAAATAGGTAGAAGCAAGAAAAAGTAAAATTTTAAAGCATTTTGTAAACTAAAACACTATAAAAATATTAGCTGGTATTATTAAAAGTATAGGTTATACTGACCTATTAGCATAGCTGCTTTTTTTTTTTTTGGCTTTTCTGTATTTTCTAATCTTTCAGTAGTGGGTTTGTACTGTTTTTGTAATTTTTTTTAATATAAAAACTTGATTTTGAAAAAAAGAAACCTAAGTATAAATAGCTCTTTATTAGGCAGAATCAAATATGCAGAATCAAATATGCACAGCAAGAGGAGAAACCACTGAAATGAATAGGAAACACTAGGACTCAATTTCCAAAGAATCTCCCAATTCCGCAATGAAGTAACAACCAAAAACTGGTTACATTTAAAAGCAGCAAATACTTCCAGGAATGCTTTATAAATGCATTAAAGACTTTTTTATTCTGGGATGGGGTGCTGGCCATCTCAGATATTGGTGTCTTCTCTATGTCCCACAAGCAGGAGTGATCGCTCAGAGTATGGGAGGATCTCCATGAACCAGGAAGAAATTGAATCCCTGAACAGACCAATAATGAGTTCTTTACTTGAGGCAGTAATAAACAGCCTACCAACCACAAAAAGCCCACGACGAGACAGATTCACAGCTGAATTCTACCAAATGTACAAAGAGCTGGTACCATTCATACTGAAACTATTCCAAAAAATTGAGAAGGAACTCCTCCCTAACTCATTCTGAGACCAGCATCATCCTCATACCAAAACTTGGCAGAGACACAACACCAAAAAAAACTTCAGGCCAATATCCTTAATGAACACTAACGCAAAAATCCTCAACAAAATACTGGCAAACCAAATCCATCAGCACATCAAAAAGCTTATCCACCACAATCAAGTAGGCTTTATCCCCAGGACTCAAGGTTGGTTCAACACACCCAAATCAATAAATGTGATTCATCACATAAACAGAAGTAAAGACAAAAACCACATGATTATCTCAATAGATACAGAAAAGGCTTTCAATAAAATTCAACATCTATTCATGTTAAAAACTCTCAATAAACTAGATATTGAAGGAACATACCTCAAAATATGAAGAGCCGTATGTGACAAACCCACAGCCAACATCACAACATCATACTGAATGAGGAAAAGCTGGAAGCATTCCCCTGACAACCAGCACAAGACAAGGATGCCCTCTCTCACCACTCCTATTCAACACAGTATTGGAAGTTCTGGCCAGGGCAATCAGGTAAGAGAAAGAAATACAGGGCATCCAAATAGGAAGAGAAGAAGTCAAACTATCCCTGTTGGCAGATGGCATGATCCTGTATCTAGAAAACTCCATAGTGTCAGCCCAAAAGCTTTTTAATCTGATAAACAACTTCAGCAAAGTCTCAGGACACAAAATCAATGTGCAAAAATCACTAGCAGTGAGTCAAGGCCGGCTCTAAAAAAATAAAAATTAAAATAAAAAGATAAAAAAATAAAAACAAAAATCACTAGCATTCCTATACACCGACAACCATCAAGCCAAGCACCAATGAGGAACAAACTTTCATTTACAATTGCCACAGAGAAAATAAAATACCTAGGAATACAGCTAACTATAAGGAGGTGAAAGATCTCTACAAGGAGAACTACAAACCGCTAATCAAAGAAATCAGAGATGACACAAACAAATGGAAAAACATTTCATGCTCATGGATAGGAAGAATCAATATAGTCAGAATGGTCATACTGCCCAAAGCAATTTATAGATTCAATGCTACTCCTATTAAATGTCAATGGTAATTGACATTGTTCACAGAACTAGAGACAACTATTTTAAAATCCAAATGGAAACAAAAAAGAATCCAAATAGCCAAGGCAATCCTAAGAAAAAAGAATGAAGCTGGAGGTATCACATTACCTGATTTCAAACTATACTACAAGGCTACAGTAACCAAAACCGCATGGTACTGGTACAAAAACAGACACACAGACCAATGGAACAGAATAGAGACTCCAGAAATAAGGCCTAACACCTACAACCATATCATCTTCAACAAACCTGACAAAAACAAGCAATGGGGAAAGGAGTCCTTATTCAATAAATGGTGCTGGGATAACTGGCTAGCCACAGGCCGAAGATTGAAACTGGAGCCTTCCTTATACCATAAACAAAAATTAACTCAAGATGGATTAAAGACTTACATGTAAAATCCAAAAGTATAAAAACCATGGAAGACAACCTAAGTAATACCATTCAGGACAGAGACACGGGAAAAGATTTCATGACAAAAACAACAAAAGCAACTGCAACAAAAGTAAAAATTGACAAATGAGGTCTAATTAAACTAAAGAACTTCTGCATAGCAAAAGAAACTGTCAACAGAGTAAGCAGACAACCTATAGAATGGGAGAAAATTTTTGCAAATTATGCGTCCAACAAAGCTCTAATAATATCCAGCATCTATAAGGAACTTAAACAAATTTACAAGAAAAAAAAACATAAAGTGGACAAAGTATATGAAAAAAACACTTTTCCAAAGAAGACATACATGCAGCCAACAAGCACACAAAAAAAAAAATGCTCAACATCACTAATCATTAGAGAAATGCAAATCAAAATCACAACAAAACACCACCTAACACCAGTCAGAATGGCTAGTATTAAAAAGTCAAAAAATAACAGATGCTGGTGAGGTTATGAAGAAAAAGGAACACTTATATGCACTGTTGGTGGGAGTGTAAATTAGTTCAACTACTGTGGAGAGCAGTGTGGCAATTCCTCAAAGAATGAAAAACAGAATTACCATTTGACCCAGCAATCCTATTACTGGGTATGTACCCCAAGGAATATAAATCATTCTATTATAAAGACACATGCATGCGTATGTTCATTGCAGTACCATTCACAATAGCAAACACATGGAATCAACCTAAATGCCTATCAATGACAGACTAGATAAAGAAAATGTGGTACAAATATATCATGGAATACTATGCAGCCATAAAAAAGAACAAAATCACGTCCTTTGCAGTGACATGGCTGGAGCTGGAGGCCATTATCCTTAGCAAATTAACACAGGAACAGAAAACTAAGTACTACATGTTCTCACTTACAAGTAGGAGCTAAATGATGAGAACACATAGACACATACAAGGAAACAACACACACTGGGGCCTATCAGAGGGTGGAAGGTGGAAGAAGGGAGAGGATCAGAAAAAATAACTAATGGCTACTAGGCTTAATACCTGGGTGATAAAATAATTTGTACAACAAACCTCCATGACATAAGTTTACCTATGTAACAAACCTGCACATGTACTCCTGAACTTAAAATAAAAGTTACAAGGCCAGGCGTGGTGGCTCAGGCCTGTAATCCCAGCACTTTGGAAGGCCGAGGTGGGCGGATCACCTGAGGTCAGGAGTTCGAGACTAGCCTGGCCAACATGGCGAAACCCTATCTCTACTAAAAATACAAAAATTAGCCAGGTGTGGTGGTGTGCGCCTGTAATCCCAGCTACTTGGGAGGCTGAGGCAGGAGAATCGCTTGAACCTGGGAGGCAGAGGTGGCAGTGAGCCAAGATTGTGCCACTGCATTCCAACCTGGGTGACAGAGCACAACTCCATCGCAAAAAAATAAAAAATAAAAAATAAACAAATAAAATAAAAGTTACAGAGATGATAAAATGCATTACTACTAGCAGACAAAACAAATTGGACTTCAAATAAATGAACATAATATAACCTACTCAAAAAGGTCAGTTCATCAATTGAAAAGCTTAAACATGAAATATTTTTCTCATTGTAAAAACAAGTACAGTATATCAAACTATGTCTGTGTATCCATAATAGCAAATTAAATTTTTTTTGTTTGTTTTTTAGCATCCCAAACCCCCCCCCAACCCCCGAGGTAACCACTTTTACCAGACTGGAGTATATCTTTCCAATTTTCTATGTATTTGCATATACATACACACACATACAAACACATACACACATTGTTATGGTCTGAACTGTGTACTCCCCACCCCCACAAATTTATATGTTGAAGTCCTAACCTCTAATACTTCAGAATGTGACTATATTTGGAAACAGGGCCCTTAAAGAGGTAATTAAAGTTCAATGAGGTCATTAAGGTGGGCCTTAATCCAATATGACCAGTATACTTCTAAGAAGAGGATATCAGGACACAGACACAAACAGTGGAAAAGACAGTGTGAAGACAGAGGTATAAGATGGCCATCTACATGCCAAGGAGAGAGACCTCAGAAGAAATCAACTCTACTGACACCTTCATCTTGGACTTCATGGGTTCCAGAACTGTGAGAAAATACATTTCTGTTGTATAAGCCACCCAATCTGTGGTGTTATGGCAAACGTAGCAGGCAAGCACACATGTACATGCACAGTTATTAAGTCACTACAGTCAGAGTAGTTGAAGAAAGAGTTCATACTTAGCAAACATTCATGCACTCAAAAATATGAATATATTACAATATTATAGTATAAGTTACTCAAGATCAGTAAAAACAATTTTATAAGTAAACCAAAATCGAAGCTTCACCTTGTCTTTTTCTAATATGCTTTGAAAAGCAGAAGTTTAAAAGTTGCTCTCCCAAAACATCAGCACCTAAGGAACTATACCCTTAGGATGCGGTTTCCCTACTTTAATATCCATCCCTCTCTAGATATTGTAAAGAAAACTTAATCAGAGGACTAATGAACATCCCAAAATACAGTGTGCAGTTAAAATTTCTACAAACAGCAAATTTTTATATCTTATTCCTCAAAGAATGTTATCCTGTAAGTCACTTTATCTTAGCAAATGATGCTCACAAATAAAGTAACTCAAAAATTTTAGGATAAAAAGTAAGTGTGCTTTGGTTATTGAACTAAAACTGACAACAATCAGTGATGCTACTCCACCACGGTACCATATGCCTAATGACAGAAATGCAACGGACAAACTTATGAGGTTGCCCTGAAGAAAGTTAGCTTTCAATTCCAAATGTATAGCAGTGGAGCAAATATTATTAATTATTATGTTAGATTTTTGCTTTGGTTTGGTTATAGAGTTTAATCATTCATTTTACATATATTTTCTGATTACCTATTACATGTAACATACCGTGCCTAGCTCTGTGGAAGATAAAAACAAAAAGATGATTGGAATATATTAGCATTTTAGGCACATAAAATCTTATCTCCTCCACAAGATACATAACTACTTGTAGGAAAAAGTGTTGTAGGAGTTCAGAGGAGGGAGAAATCAAAGTCTTATTAGCTTATAAGGAATGGTTTCAGGGAACGGACTGACCTTTGAACTAACATTTGAAAAATAGGCACCAGTTAGAGAGAGGGCATTTCAGACATAGGGTGTGGCATAAAAAAAAGAACAGACACAAAAAAGCACATGGTCCAAGGAACAGGGAACAATATAGGGTGACTGGAGGGACAGGGTATTTGTAGAGAAACAGTTTACAATATGGCTAGCAATCTAGTTAGGTGGAAATTTTTAAGGCTAAGATATAAAGCCCACTGAAGTTTATGCAGGGAAGTGATGGGATAAAAGTCATGCCTTAGGAAGAATAATCTAGATGTGCTGTATAGGATGGATTGAAAGGGCAAGTCCCTGAAAGCAGGGACAAAACCCATGCATAAAGTAATAAGGGTCTAAAACTAGGGCAGAAGTTAAGGGACTGAAAAGGACAGAAGAGGCCATTGCTACTACAAAGAAATGTTCATCTACCTAACCGGATTACTGTGAAGACCAAATGACATTAAATAAAGACTTGAAAAGTATCTTTACTCACTAGTGGCAAATCCTACAAGGGAGTCAAGAGAGCACAGATGAGGACTTCAGGGAGATGGATTTCAGGAAAGGAAGGAGAAAATCAAAACAACAAAAATATCACATTTTGCAGGTAACTATATATACCTATTAACATTACTAAAATCTTAAGTAATTAAAAGACCTAATTTTGGTCAAGACTGAGCACCAAGAAAAAAAATGCTCACAAGTAAAAACAGAATTTAAAATTATCCCAATAATGTAAAAATTATGTACATGAAAGAACAGAGATTCAAAGGAAAAAGGAAAAATTATTTAACATGTGGGATTGTAGATATCTGTCTTGACGTTTTTATTAGATGTGGTTTTGTATAATTAAAATGGGGACAATGTAAAGCATAAGAATCGTATACAGAATGGGCAATTTTATCTCTTATTATATACCTTATTTTACAATATGGGAAAGAACATACTTTTCTTTGAAAAAGCAAAATCTTTAAGATAACACTGACAACAATACAGCAATAAATGATATTAATTTTATAACAATTGTATAACAATAATTAAATGATCAATTATGCATTTATCATTTAATCAAAATTTTGATGTAAGTTTCCACTCTATTTCTACCCCGCTGCCCAGTGACAAGTGCTCTTTATCTTGCCACTGGCTACTCAGGAACACCATTAGAAACCCACCAGCCAGCAATATTGTATTAATCAGGGATTACTGACTGGAAGAGGGGATAGGTTTCTGATTCCCCTGAAATTGCATGCAAAATGAAGCACATACGTATGTATATTTTTCTAGGGAGAAGGTCTATGGCTTTGATCAGATTCTCAAAGGGCCTCGTGTTCTAAAAGAAAGTTTAGAAACATGAAATTTTCTTCCTCTTCCTAATAATCTTAATAACTAGTTAAAACCAATGTGTCAATGACTTAGAGAATGTTATTTATTCAACTATATCTGAAAAAAGAATCCCCTGAATTCCTCTTCTCAAGTCCCAGTGCCACTTTCCATTCCTTACCATATACAGCCCATGTAAGGTATATCTTTATTTACAACTTTTATAGCATTACTGTTATTCTTCACCACCCCTTAGAATCTATTTCTACCATCCCAGATGATTTCGGAACCTAGCTTACTTTTTCCTCCACACTACTTCCATCCTCCCAACACTACCAAATACTAAGCTCATAATTAAATTACATTTTTCTATTCCTACTCTTAGATATACAAATATGACAAGAACAATACAAATTTGTCCCATTAAAAATTCATGTGAACATAAACTTACCCTATGTTGCTCCTGAATACTACACCAGTAGTAAACTAGGATCACAAAGTAGAGGTACTATATAAAAAGGGCTGGTCCTAAAGGATTACAGTAAAGAAACAAGAGAGTTGCAAGAAACCTTAGAGATCTGGTAGTCAAATATTACTAGTTTACAGGATCTGATGTCCAAAAGAACAAGTTATGTGTCCAAGATAATTAACAGTACAAATAGAGCTCAGGCGGTCAAGTGTCCTGGTCCAGTGTTCATCCCACAATACCAAGTTATGCCCTTTGCACACCAGTTATTTCATTATTTTTAACATTTAGAAATAAAAATCTTTTAAGTCATCTGTATTTTCTTTACAGTAAGGCTTACTCCTACCTCAAGACCTCTTAATAGTATTCAATATCATTCCTTCCAAGCTTACTGTGTGAGAACAATGTAGGGGACAATTAAAAGCCGTGTTGAAATCAAGATAGACTGTCACTCACTCATATGAATAATTGGTTTGGTATGTCTTGCTCTTTTCAAAACCAAGCTGGCTGCTTCCTAACAGCTCGTATTTTTCTAATGACAGCAAATTATTGTTTAATAATTTTAAAAGTCTTTATTGGTCTCCTAATAAAAGGACTATGCTTTTAACATTTGTGTCCCCCTAAAATTCCTATATTGAAACTTAATCACCAATGTGATGGTATTAAAAGGTGGAGTCATTGGGAGGTGATTAGGACTTGGAGAGTAGAGCTCTCATAAACAGGATTAGTTCCCTTATAAGAGGGGCCAAAGAGCTGCCTTGTCTCTTCTACCACATGAGGACACAGCTAAAAGGCACCGCCTATGAACCTCAAGACCTCACCAGACACTAAATCTGTCAGCACCTTGAACTGTGAGAAATAAATTGCTCTTGCTTATAAGTCATGTAGTTTATGGTATTTTGTTATACCAGCCCAAACAGACTAAGATAGACTATTAGTCTAAGAAATTATTTCTCATATGCACATTAAATCCCTCTTCCTGCAAATGAAGTCCACATCTTTGTATCATAACCTAATGTTCCAGTTAAGTTTAGGCATCACTGAACTACAAATAACCCCTTCAGGTCCTTTTTTTTTTTTCTTTTTTTTGAGAGGAAGTCTCGCTCTGTCGCCCAGGCTGGAGTACAGTGGCGCGATCTCGGCTCACTGCAACCTCCGCCTCCAGGGTTCAAGCAATTCTCCTGTCTCAGTCTCCTGAGTAGCTGTAGTCACAGGTGCACGTGACCATGCCCAGCTGCTTTTTGTATTTTTAGTATGGACGGGGTTTCACCATATTGGTCAGGCTGGTCTCGAGCTCTTGACCTCAGGTGATCCACCTGCCTTGGCCTCCTAAAGTGTTAGGATTACAGGCATGAGCCACTGGGCCAGGCCGCTTCAGGTACTTTAAATGTCACTGAATCACCTCTCACCCTTTTCAGTTCCATGATCTATAATCCACTTAAAGACACCCTTATTTCTCTTGTAAGTTCTGTTTTTGTTGTTGTTGTTTGTTTGTTTGCTTGTTTTTGAGACGGAGTCTTGCTCTGTCGCCCAGGCTGGAGTGCACTGGCGCGATCTTAGCTCACTGCAAGCTCCGCCTCCCGGGTTCACGCCATTCTCCTGCCTCAGCCTCCCGAATAGCTGGGACTACAGGAGCCCGCCACCATGCCCGGCTAATTTTTTTTGTATTTTTAGTACAGACGAGGTTTCACCATGTTAGCCAGGATGAATAAGTTCTGTTTTCTATTCTTTTAGTATATTTTGGGACGACTGTTGAATAATCACTGTAGTTTCTTCATAGGCATCTTATATTGTTAAATTTAAATATGAACTAGAACCTCTAAAATATAGAATAGGAGGATTATTTCCCTAGTGTTGTTATTATATTCCCACTTCAGTTAATATGAAAGCCAGGAGTAAAGTATTTTAATTTTTATCTACTCTGCTAACTCTTAGCAGCCAATGGTGGAAGAGTAGGAAGGTGGAACTTGCTACTGGGAGAAATTAAAGCTCCCATTCTTGGTCCATGAGGTCAGACCAACAAATGAAAACAAAACAGTACCTATCCAAAAGAACTACCATATTCCACAACCCAGGTCTAGGGCATATACTGGGTGAGAAATACTTACAATGAATTCCAGTAATCACATACATGTGGGACTGTGTGTGTGTGTGTGTGCGTGTGTGTGTGTGTATATATATATATAAAATATATATGTGTGTGTGTATATACACATAAAAGTTCATGAAACAATACTTCACTTAAGATGTAAAAAGCACTGCTATTTTCTTTATATTCTACTGAATTTCATCTAAAAAAGTGCTAATCCAACCCACTAACATTATTTCATAACACTGCTCTAAGGTTCCTTTCAGCTCTAAAATATTATGCTATATACTAATGATCGTCCTAAAAGTATGAATTCAGTAATTATTTTGTAATCTTAATCACAAGTCACAAATTTGCAGGTACCTCAGGTTACCTCAGCTTCTACTTTGAAAACTTTGTAATCATTCCTTTCTCACCCTGTTTTAAAAAAAGGATGGCAAGAGTTCCATGCCTTTAAGAAACAGAAAACAAAGGTAACATCTTTCCCTTGTTTTGCACACTGAGGAAATGGTAACTAAAGGAAATGGTAGGATGTAAAGGACAGAGTGGAAGAAGGAAGTTGTGGAGATAGCGTTCATGGAAAGAGAGAAAGCTAAATTTGTATTGCCATTGCCTCCTCTGAGATTCCTAATAACTTCTCCTTTTCCCTCTTCCCCCTCATTCTTCCAGCTTAAGAAATTTTATCTTAAGATATCTAATTTTATCTAAGATAACATTTACAAATTTTATCTTAACTTCATCTGCCTTATTGGAGAACTACAGAACAAAAACCATTCCCAAGAGATCATGTGTTAGAAACTTTCAACCATAAAATACTTTAAAAACCTTAATGAAATCATCTAGATTCGCTTCGTTAGCCTAATCTGCTATTTCCTATCTTGAATGACTCACTACAGTCTAAACTACGTGCAGTTCTAGAAAAGGTCCATGTTCTCTCTGACTTGTGGGCCTTTGCACATGCGATTCCTTCTTTAACTGGCTAACTTCTAATTTTTCAGCTCTTGCCTTAGATATCAGTTACTTAAGGCAATCTTCACTACCTTACAATTAGACTTAATACCCCTCACATATACTGTCCCATACCTTGTACCTTTCCCATTATTACACAGCTCCACTATATTTTAATTGCCGATTAATTTACATATTTCCCACTAGATTTTAAGCTCTTTAAAGACAGGACTTATATTTTGTTTGCTCCTGTAGAGGTGTTCAATAATTACTGAATGAATTATAAATGTCATTCCATCAGCCTTCCACATGCTTAGTGTCATTCCCTATTCTCCCTGTTCAGAACATTCTCCCCAGTTCTATCACCAGCATGAAATACTCTTTATAACCTGGTCCTTAATTATCACTATTTCCTCTGGATGCCTATAGCCTTTATTGTACATACTATTCATTTGCTAATTAACCCACCACTGTGTTTTTCAGTTATTTTTGTAATGCATAGATCCAATCTCCTTAACTAAACTGTACAATCCTTGAAGGCATAACTGTATGTCTCTCTTAGTACCCTATCATCTAGCACAGGGCTATGTACAAGGTAGACGTTAAATATTTGTAGATGAAGAATCAAAATTTAAGAGGTTGTTTCTCATACAAAACTGACAATATTTTAAAGTGATAGTGATAAATACGTGGTGGCAATTAAACCTCTTGTCAATACACAGAAAATAAAAAGATATACTTTAGTACAGTTAAGTACAAATAATTTTTTAAAAAACCGTTCCTGAGTGAGAGGTAATAATGGACTCAAATTTTAGGAGGCACTACAACCATAGCTACATTCATAAGTTAAGGATAAGTAGCCTATGGCTTCCAAAATGACCTGTGCACAGAGAACATCACTGTATTTTTCAGATCTAGGACAGTCATATTTATACAAGAATTTAGGGCGGTCTATGTTTTGGAAAGATAGTTACGGTTTTGGCCTATCAAGAAGCACGCCTGTCAGCAAGGGAGTTAACTGGCGCCACCTGTTTATAGATAGCTTGCTGTCATTACAGTGCTCTCCGAATTGCTAATTCCAACTGAGTAAAATCTGAACCACAGATAAACTGTCCCAAATTCCATTACTAATTGGGGAAAATAATCCAGTCTTCCTCGTCTTTAGAAAGGCAAGCAGGCTGGGAATGGTGTCTACCCCAACTCTTAATATGAGAGAAAAACTATGACTCCGAGAGCCTCCAGCGCTCCAGGTGTCCTCTGCCCAGAACCTCCTGCCCCGTTTCCCTTTGCTGAACTCAAAGGTTTTCTTCTTCGCCCTTTCCTCAAATTACTGACGTTAATTTCCTTCACTTACTGCTGCTCCCAGTTAGCCATGACTTTCTTCTTGGTGCTCTCTCTGCCCCGAGGTCAGGAGGGCAACCTTTTCCCTACAGGTCCCCTTGCCCTTCACCCTATTCTTCCATGTCAGTGGCATCTCACCTGGTAGGCTCGAGCGGTTCCCAAGGCGCCGAGTTGATGTGGCCTCCACTGCGGACCTGAGCCGCTAACAGAGACTAAAGGCCGGATCAGAATCGCGGAGTGCCGGCGCTTTTCGAAAGCAGCCGCCGCGGCCGCCCAGCGCCAAGAATGCATCGCGAGCAGCGCCATCTTGAGCGAGGAAAGAGGAACCGAGAGAAGAGGATTATGGGACACTGGCGGACTGAATTCGGCTACCTTAATTGTCTCTCCTCTTCTTGTTTTCCCAGGGCCCCAGACCGGAAATGGATTCTGTTTGAAGATTCGGATGCATTCGCACAGCCTCTTTTATTTGTTTTTCCTTAGGGCCGAGCTTTGATTGTTTTCCTTACACAACCGGGAATATTGGAGTAACACTGTATTTTTCTCTTTTCCTGGAGTTGCCAGATGAAATACAGGATGCCTACCTAGTTAAGTTTCAATTTTACATAAACAACGAATCATCTCTTCGTGCGTGTGTCCCAAATATTGTATCTGCTAAATCTGTCAACCCCATCTTGTCTCTCATAATACTCTCTTACCTCCTCCAACTCAATGTCACGCTCCCCTCTCTCCATTTTCCCTATGCATATTCTTATCTTCACTCCCTTCTGAATTAAGGAAAGATTAAACTACAGACGTTAATTTCCCCTGGGAGGAGGCTTCAGCTGTAAGATTTACTGCTTTTCTGTCCTGTAAGGACTTTAACTTTGCTGATTGTTCTCTGTTGCGCAAACCTTGGGGCAGTTTTCCTTTGGTCTGTTGCTCGTGGGACAGTCTCACACACACACACACACACACACACACAGAGAGACTACAGACATCTTTACTAATTTTGTCACTCTTTCTAGCTCTTCGCTTTGGTTTTTGCAGCGTCCCTAATTCTTGAAAAATCGCTTAGGTTGGCTGAAGGGTGGTAAAGTGAAATGTATGGAGAGAAGACCATGTTTAAAGACAGGCTTATATTCTTTTGTCACCACTATTATCAAACAAAATGTCAAAATATGTTTACAGTTATCTAGGAAACTGCATTTCCAGTTGTAAATGTTACCTGAAACCCCGGAGACAATAATGCAGTTGCAATTTTATATTCACTGCTGCATTCTCCAACTTTTCACACAAAAGAGACAAATAATTATGGACTTCTTATGAAGAGGTACTTTGGACTAGTAAGTCTGATAAAGAAAAACAGAAATCTGTAGCCCATGCAGTTAGCTTTTTTGTTCTGGGATTCATTCAAGGGGATGCTTGAGCTAGTTATTTAAAGAAAAATAGAATTCAAGTTGAAGAGGTTGACTGGAATTACACGTAAAGAAGATGACATGTTAAAAGCAAGAAGGCATAAGAAAATATTTTCAGGTTCAGGAGTCTATGGAGTTTGGGAAAGTAGTAGGAGGTTAACCTGAGTGAACAGAGACCTGATGGTAAAGGGCCTTCTATTTCATTCTAAGAAGTTAATACTTTATCCTATAACCAGTGAAGAGTTTTAATCAGGAGAGTAACATGATCAGATTTATATGTCCATTAAGCTACTCTGGCTTAAGTGAGAAGGTTGGATTGGACGGAGTTCATATTGAAGTCATGAAGTTAATGCAATAGTTCAGTCATAAAATAAAGGCCTCAACCTAGCAGTAGCAGTGGCAGTAGATCGATTGCAGGGCAATTAGGAGATGGAATTGGCAAGACTTAGTGACTAATTGGATGTTTCTAGCTTATTATTGTATTGTTGACAGTAGATCAGTAATGGCTTCATATTAATGACTATATTGTCATCAACAAATATTTATTCAGCATCTATTCTGTGTTAGACAGCTACAGTATACATTAGAGAAACTCTAGACTCTACTAATGATTTCTCTTAGGGCTGAATATTGCCACTGAATCTTACCACCCAGTTGTAAAGTCTTTGAATGGAGCCAAATTATTTTTTTCCAAAAGTAGTGCTCATTGTAAGCCAACTGTTTTGATCAAAAAGTGTGAATAACATTGAAATACCCAAGTTGTTACTCTATGATGAGCTAAAGTGAGGCAAATATTTATTTGCCAAATAAGCCGAAGAAAATTTCCAGGGCACCCAGAAATAGAACGTGAGGCATAATAAGAGTTGCACACTGCTGGGGAAGAGCAGCAACAAAAAGGCCAACTCAGCCTGTAATAACTTGACACATAACTGTCTGACATAAATTAAAGAGACAGAGGTATACACAATAAAAGCTGCTATAAATAGCTGCTACAACCACAGATCACATGATAGCACTTTATGTATGCAATAATTAAATGTGTATAGTATTTTGTAACTTACAATCCGCTTTGTCATACCTTATTTCATTTAGTCCTCACATCGACCATGGAAGATAGGTATTATTTATTAATATGCCCATATTTATGAGGAAACTGAGGCTAAGAAAAGTTGTGACTAGGTCAGAGGCCACAGAGCTAATGGGATGGAGACCAAACCTAGGTTTTATGACTCCAAACATAGTGCTCTTTTCACTTAATAACACCTGAAATGTGGAAGAAACACTTGAGCAATTTAAGAAGGCCACAGTGGTCTTCTGTTTCTAAAAAATACCAGAACTTATTCTCACCTCAGGACCTTTCCACTTGCTTTCCCCTCTACCAGGAATATCTTTCCTGTAGATTTTTAAATGACTTTTTCTTATCTTTCAGGTCTCAAAACAAATGTCACCTGCTTAGAGAAGCTTTCCAAGAGAACCTTATCTGAAGAGGCCACCCCCTGTCCCCACCACTCTGTATCACCATTGCCTTGTGTTATTTCCCTTAAAATCTTGCTATTCCAATGTGATCCATGGACCACTAGCATTGGCATTACTTGAGAGGTTGTTAGAACTGCAGAATCTTTTTTAGCTATTTTGAACTATACAGTAAGTTGTTGTTAACTATAGTCACCTGCCCTACTGTACTATAGAACACTAGATATTACTCCTTCTAACTACATTTTTGTACCCATTGACCAACCTCTTTTCATTGTCCCCTCCCTTCTGCTCTTCTTACCTTCTGATAACCACTATTCTACCCTCTACCTTCATGAGATATACTTTTTTAGCTCCCACATATGAGTGAGAACATGTGGTATTTGTCTTTTTGTACCTGGCTTATTTCACTTAGCATGATGACCTTCAGTTCCATCAATGTTGCTGCAAATGACAGGATTTCATTGTTTTATGGCTGAACAATATTTTATTGTGTATGTACACCACATTTGGAAGAAAGAGAATGTTCCCAACATAAAGAAAAGCTAAATGTTTCTTTATTTGATTATTACCTTGTTGTATATATTGTTTATGATATCATATGCATCATGTATCAAAATATCACATGTACTTCAACAATATGTACAGCTATTACATAGCAATAAAAAAAGAAATGCAGAATCTCAAGCCCGATGCCAGACTTAAATATTCAAAATCCGAATTTTAATTAGAATGCCTCAGGTTGTTCATATGCACATTCAAGTCTGAGAGGCACTTTTAGAGCACGTATCACTTTCTGAAACTAACTTATTTTCCATGTACTTTTAACATTTGGAAATATTGAATCATAACTGAAAATTACAAAGAAAAACGTAATCACCATGTACCTACAACCCAGCTTAGTCATAGCTTAAGATTTTATGATACTTGCCTTAAATTTTTTTTTTTTTTTTTTTTTTTTGAGATGGAGTCTCACTCAGTTGCTCAGGCTGGAGTGCAGTGGCACAATCTCAGCTCACTGCAACTTTCGCCTCCCGGGTTCAAGCGATTCTCCTGCCTCAGCCTCCTGAGTAGCTGGGACTACAGGTGCATGCCACCACGCCCGGCTAATTTTTTGTATTTTTAGTAGAGACGGGGTTTCACCGAGGATTGTCTTGATCTCCTGACCTCGTGATCCACCTGCCTCGGCCTCCCAAAGTGCTGGGATTACAGGCGTGAACCTCTATGCCCAGCCTGCCTTAGATCTTAAAAATAATGACTTAGTTGAAGATCCCGGCATTGCCCTTCTCTAATCCTAGTCTCTTTATCCTTGTGGATTTATTTCTGTTTTATTCTTTTATGTTATTTTGGTGGAGTCTGTAAGGAAGAGGCGATAAATAGGTTTGATTTTCCTCTTCGTTTTCTAACCTCTAGACATTTCCTTTGTTTGCTTTCAAGCTCAACTATGCATTTTTTAAAAACTTTGGGGCTTTTTGTTGCTACTTTTAACCAACTTGTCTGTGTTTGGAGTCTGTAGGGTAGTGTCTCTTACATGTTGTCAGTTAGCCCTCTTGTCTCTATTGTATACCTCTTAACCTGGTTTACACTTTAAAAAATGCAGCCCAAAATTACCCTTCCCCCAAAATAAGGTGCATTGCATAAAGATGTTTATATCAGTGTTATTAATAATAGCAACTTTTTCTGTCGTTTTACTTTATTTGTTTATTTATTTTTTAGAGACAGAGTCTCGCTCTTGTCACTCAGGCTGGAGTGCAGTGTTGCAATCACAGCTTACTGCAGCCTCAAGCTCCTGGACAAGGGATCCTCCCGCTTCAGCCTCCCAAGTAGCTGGGACTAAGGTGTGTACGACAGTGCCTGACATATATTTAAAAAATTTTTTAAAGATGGGGTTCGCTATGTTGCCCAGGCTGGTCTCAAACTCCAAGCATCAAGTGATCCTCTTGCCTCAGCTTCCCCAATGGCTGGGATTTACAGGCATGAGCCACCATGACCAGTGCAACTTTTGAAAATAATTCCAAATATTCCAAAAGCAGTTCAACGAAATACCTCAACAGCTATTATTTGAAAAGTATATGTATGTACTTGCGTTGATACTGTATATGGGAAAGTATATATGAAATAATGTTGAATAAAGAAGAAACAAACATATATATACATTTATATGTATGAATATATAAACACATACACACATGTTTATTACTATTGAGATTTTAGGAGAACATTGCACAAAATAAGTAGTTGTTTTAAAGTTATGTTTATCACTTTTTTTCCCTTTTTTGAAGGGAATATTTATTGGGCATTTATTCTGTTTTAAGCACTGCACTGCACTGCACTGGGTGCTTTAAGTTGTATCATCGAATTTAATCCACTCAACGCACATAAAGAGTGGTTTCTGTTATAATCTCCACCTTACAAATGAGGAAAAGAAAGCTCTGGGCTTGCCCAAGTAGTTTGGAAGTGGTAGAGATGATATCCAAATCCAGAAGGTCTGATTCCAGAGCCCATGCTCCTTGTCACCATGCCATAGAGGGTTTTAATAATAGTTGTTTGTATAAAAATTAAATTTTAAAAATGAATGCAAAGTTTTAGTTATTTTTTAACTTAATAAAAATTTAGAGATTTTGGTAAACTTTAATGCTTAACCTCCAGGGGAAAAAAAATCTTTTACAAATTTGTAAATGAGCTGGTTTCTTTGCATATCATGCAAAATAATATCTTAATCCTCATATATAATAATAACAGCTATTAATTATCGAGTGCTTCATCTGTAACAGGGAGTAGCTACTGCTTTACATACATGATCATATAATCCTCTCCAATATTGTATGAGGTAGCTATTATTATAATTACCATTTTTTTCTGCTGATGTAACCTGAGACTTACAGACATTAAAGAACTTTCCCAAGATTGCTTACCTAGTAAACAGCGGAGTCAAAACTCAAACCTAAACCTGACACTAAAGTCTATGCTGCCAACCTAAACTATGCTGCCTTTTCTTGTATGTGTCAATACCACCTGTAGGATTTAGGGGGCATGCCAAATCTGTTTTCACTGTAATATTGTGGGCAATCCTATGTATTATAAAACAGTGACCCAGCTTTATCTCGACAAAAATAATCTTGTGGGAATTTCGTAGGACTGTGGGACCCCATGTAGATGGCACAATAAGAATCATCTCCTTTTGAACACTATGCATTGGGTCCATCCCAAGAGTCATCATGTGTATCCCTTAGAAATATTTCTAGGTATACCCTAATTTCCTTCTTTCTTTTCTTTTTTTTTTTTTTTTGTATTTTTAGTAGAGACGGGGGTCTTACCATGTTGGTCAGGCTGGTCTCGAACTCCTGACCTCAGGTGATCCACCCGCCTCAGCCTCCCAAAGTGCTGAGATTACAGGCGTGAGCCACCACGCCCAGCAGGTATACCCTAATTTCAAGTCTCTTGAAGATCTAACTTGCTTGCTGTTTTAAAGCTCCATGGTTTTACTCTGGTATGAAGGATCCAGTGAACTGTGAAAACTTGTCTTTTTATCTGTGTGGCATGTAGACCCATGATAAAGCTATAGATTAATAACTCAGTATGATGTTTTTAAGCTCTCAGAACTCACTTCAAAGTTTTCATCTTAAACTCTCCAAGTTGCAGTTTCAAGATATTCTAAAAGATGTTGAAGTGGGGTGAGAGAATGTGAATGAGAAAAATTAGTTATCTGGAAAATTATTTTAATAAGATGGGTTACAAAGGGGTGGATAGGCTTGAGTGTGACATCAATTTTTAATAGGCTGAGCCTGATGAGGGTTCATATCTGTCTATTAATGTAATATCACTAAGATACCTCTGGCTATAAAACCCATTATTCTGTGATTTCTTACTAACCCGAATCATTATTTACTTTATGTTTGAGGGAGCCTCTCTGGCAGAATCAGATTTTTTTAAAGATCTATTGTTACCCAGGTAACTGCAATAATTATGGTAGTATTAATAATTACAGAGAAGGAAGGAAACTCAGGTACATCGAGGTAGTACTGAATGGTATGATGGCAAAAGCATCAGTATGATGTCGTGTTGATTTCATGGTGCTCCGTAACAAACTAACACAAACTTTGTGGCTAAAAACAACATACATTTATTATCTCACTATTTCTGTGGGTCAGTAATCTAGATACAGATGAGTTGCATTCTCTGCTCCAGAGCTCACCAAGATAAAAATCAAGATATCAGCCAGGGCTGCAATCTCATCTGAGACTTGGGGTCCCTCTCTCAAACTCACTGATTGCCCAAAAACTTCCTTACAATTGTAGGACTGAAATCCTTGTTTTCTTGCTGGCTGTTGGCTGAGGACTACTCTGTTTCCAGAAGGATCCTCAGATCCTTGCCACGTGACCCCTTTTATAGGTAATTAACATGATTGGTTGCTTCTCCAAGGCCAGAAACAGAATCTCTTTGGTTTTGAACCTTTCTTTCAAGAAAGGACAGGACCCTCTTTTAAAGGGCTTGCCTGATTAGATAAGACCCACCCAAGATAATCTCTTTTTTGATTAACTTAAAGTCAACTGATTCAGTGCCTTAATTACATCAGCAAATTCCCTTCTCTTTGCCATGTAACATAATCAAATCAGGGGAGTGTTATCCCATCCATATTCACAAGTCCTGCCCACACTCAAGTGGAGGGGATTATGTAGGGTATATATACTAGAGGGTGGAAATGATAGTGGCCATCTTAGAATTCTGCCTATGACAAAAAACTGGGGTTGCAGATCAAGTTGTAAATGAAAATATGTCTACACAAAAGCCTGAACATGAATGTTTATAGCAGCATTGTTTAGAATAGCCAAAAAGTAGAAACAACTTAAATGTTCATCAACTGGTGACTGAATGAACAAAATGTGGTATATCCATACAATAAAATTGCTATGGTTTAAGTATGTCCCCTGAAAAGCATGTTTTGGAAACTTAATCCCCAATTCAGCCTAATTCCTATTAGGTGAGGCCTGATGAGTGATATTTAGGTCATGAGGGCTACATTCTCATGAATGAACTAATGTTGATTACTAAAGGACTTGAGGGCTGGGTGCAGTGGTTCAATCCTGTAATCGCAGCACTTTGGGAGGTCTAGGCCAGTGGATCACTTGAGGTCAGGAGTTCAAGACCAGCCTGGCCAACATGGCGAAACCCCATCTCTACTAAAGATACAAAAATTAGCTGGGTGTGGTGGCACATGCTTTAATCCCAGCTCCTCAAGAGGCTGAGGCAGGAGAATCGCTTGAACTCAGGAGGCAGAAGTTGTTGTGAGCCAAGATCATGCCACTGCATTCCAGCCTGGGTGACAGAGCAAGTCTCCATCTCTAAATAAATAAATAAATAAATAAATAAAGGGCTTGAGGTTGTGAGTTTGATCTCTAACATGCACACGCATGCTTTCTTGCCCTTTCACCTTCTGCTTTCCAACATAGGGTGATGCAGAAAGAAGGCCCTTGTCAGATGCAGAGCCTTCAACCTTGGACTTCCCAGTCTCCAGAACTGTAAAAAATAAATCTCTGTTCTTTATAAATTACCCCTTATCAGAAACTCTGTAATAACATTACAAACAGACCAAGACAGAAATATTATCGAGCCATACAAAGGAATTAGGTGTTGATACATGCTACAACATGGATGGACCTTGCAAACATTATGCTAAGTGAAAAAAACAAAAAATACCATATATGATTCCATTTATATGAAATGGCCAGAATAACAAATCTGTAAAGATAGAATGTTAGATTAGTGATTGCCTAGTGCTGGGGAATTGGAATACCTGCTAATGTATATGAGGTTTCTTTTTGAAGCAATAAAAATATGTTCTAAAGTTGATTGTGGTGATGGTTGCGAAACTCCATGAATATACTAAAAACTATTGAATCATACACTTTATAGGTGAATTATATAGTATATGAATTATAGCTAATAAAACTTTAAAAAAAAATCATGTTGTATTACTTGCCAGCTTCTTGGATGTTTGGCAATTCAAATTCAGTTTCCTCACCCTTAAGTAGATTTAAGTAAATATAATACTCTCCCTAAGTGAATAAAATACCTCCTTCACGAGGTTGCTGTGAGGTTCAAATGAAGTAATTATGATAAATTGTTTTGTAAACTTCAAAATGCTATACAAATTTTTTAATTGTTATTGTGTAGTATATAACTTTGCAACCAAGGCAAGATCAACTTAATCCTTTTTTTTTTTTTGGCTGTCTTGTCTCCCAATATATTAATCCCAATAGCTGGGTATAATTTCTATATTTCCAAGACTAAATCCTTCTCCCCCTAGTATGTCCATTTCCTTTCATTCTCAACAGAAGTGGAGAACAGTTGCTCAATACTATCTATTCTTTCATCTACTTGAAGTCTTTTCTTTAAAATTCCTCAATTCTTCTCCCCCACATCAATAAGCTAATCCAGTTTCAAAGCTCAACAAGCCCAGTTTGTTTAACCTTTACTTATAAACCCTTATAAATTGAAATATCTTTTCCCCTTATCTGATCCTTTTATATGTAAAAGGTAAACAAGGGCTTCAGGATTAAAAGTCAGATCTGCCTTTGGGGTCTATGTATAACAAGGAATGTTTAAAGCGAAGGTCAAGGAAAGGATAAGAGATTGGGGACTGGAAGAGTCATTTTATTTAATTGAAACTAAGAAGAATCCACAGGGATTACAATTCTCCAATGTTTGAAGCAGCAGATGAAATAACACAAGAAAAGATTGATAGGCATGTCAATGACATGTTTAAATGCCTGCAGTATAATACCAAAGAGAAAGGCTAAATTAACAAAAAGTATTAATTAGGTAAAGCACATTCATATGGAGAAAAATTGAAAGGTGAAACAGATGATTGGTCAATTTTTAAAAGTTTAATGATTTTTTAATATTGTTTTCTGTTTTTTAAGATAATAAATTTTTTCTTTTTTAAAAAAGTAGAGATGAGGTCTCACTATGTTGCCCAGGGTGCTATTGAACTCCTGAGTGCAAATGATCCTCCTGCCTCAGCCTCCCAAAATGCTAGGATTACAGGGGTGAGCCACTGCACCTGACTAAATAATAAATTTGACATAAAAATGATGAAGAATTCACATATCATGGAAAGTTTCTGAAATATAACTTATTCTCTAGCTCATTCAGATTATTAGCAAGATCGGGGGAAAATCATTAACCTAGCACATAATCAGCAACGATATTTTAAGTTTAGGATTTAAATATGATGCAGGACTGTCAATACCAGAATATCCTCGGACAAAATGGGATGGTTGGTCATTCTAGTTTAGTCTTACAATAATTTTGTCTGTAAGGGGCTTGTTATCATTTTATTCCTCTTTTGTACTCATTGTATATGATAATTAAAATCAACATGATTTTTAAACCCTGTTTTTCAACCCTCTTTCCATATTTTAAACACTTCTCCTGTCTCCTCCCTATTTACCAATTACCAACCTATTCTGAAAAGAAATTGCATTTGAGAAGAATGATATTGTAATAACAGATAAAAATAGGAATGTCAGTTTCCACTCAGTAGGGATAGTGTTGAGCATGTTGTCTGTAACACTTTCTGGAGAAGAGAAAGTCGGACAAACTACGACAGCCTCCTCCATGGAGCTAACTTCATAACAAAGGTGGGTTCATGAGACTATATAATAGCTTGATGCCCCCAATCCTTAAGACCATTCAAATTCATCTGCTCAGATCCTCTACTCACCAAATAGCCTTCTTTCCAATTCTTTTTTTTTAACATTTTTATTGTGAATAATGTAAATAAAAGTGTATAAAAGATAAATGAACAATTCTATGAATTCTTTAAAATCTGAGCATATCCAAGCAGCTACCACCCAGGTGAAGAAACAGAGCATTAACAAATTCCCAGGAGCCCCCAGTAATAAATCTTCTCTTCTCCACAAAAGAAAACTAAAGACATCCTTACTTTGGTTACACTTGCCTTCTTTTAAATTTTATTTAATGGAATCATATAGTTATTTTCTACATCTGGTGTTTTTATTTAATCTTCTCTTTGTGATCCACGTTGTGACATATAGCTGTATAATTTTTTATTACCATGTAGTATTCCATTGCATGAATATTCCATTGCATGGACATTTGGGTTGTTTCCATTTTGGGGTCATCATGAATAACGCTGCTATAAATATTCTTATATACATCCCTTGGGTGTACATGTGCATGCATTTCTTTTGTGAATAGACTTGGGAGTAGAATCTCTGAATCATGTATCTTCAGCAATACTTGATATTGTACATCCTTTTCAGTTTTGGTATTCTGCTAATGTGCAGTGGTATCTCTACATTTTCAATTTGTATTTTCTTTTTGTAATTTGCACTTTCCCTATGAAATTTAGCACTGTAAAAAATTTGTATCAGTAATTGGGGTATCCTCTTTTGTGAAATGCTTGATCAAGCCTCCTGCTGATTTTCATGTTCTTTTTTATATACAAGCACATTTATATATTCTGATATAAGTTTCCTGTTGGTTGTATGTATTACAAAAATCTTTCCCCACACCGGATCTCCTAAAGTTGTATGTAAAGCATGAATTGTACGACTTCAGAATTGCTCTTTAAATTATTCATGGGCCTGGATCATATATGTCTCTTTATCATCTTTAAGTAACTATCATATTAGACCCATAATGGGGGTTCAAGCAATATTTGAATTAAATCATTGAAGGACTTGGTGAATTGATTTTTGTGTAGTTTTTAAATGCTATGTTTCACTTTCCATATGCATTTAATCTTATAATTTCAAAAATAGTTTCCAAACATTACTATGCAATGTTGAGCATTTTCTCATATGCTTGTTGGCCACGTGTATATTTTCTTTTGAAAAGTGTCTGTCCAGGTCCTTTTCACACATTTTAACAGGGTTTTTTGGTTTTTGCTTGTTTTTTGTTTTTTTTTTTCAAATGTTCACTTTACTTTTAATTTGTGATTGCAGGCAACATTCACATATCCTGGACTGTGACACATCAGCATTTGTTTCCCTTAGCCAGCCCAAACAAGTACAAATTGGTAAGTGTTTTGGATTTCTGTTTTATGTATTAAATACAGTGAGAGGTTGCCCTCCCACTGTCCCCCTCAATTCAAAGCTACGGGCTCAGTCAGCTTGCAGGCATTGCTGCCTGTTTTTTAGCTTGTCCCTGAAATAAATGAAATAATTAGCAAGTATCATGGACAGATGAGAAAATAAGACAAATCTGTGATTCATTAGGTATGCTACTAGTATATTTTGTCATTTACCTCCGTTCTGTTCCTTTCCCATCGCACTTTTTCTAAAATGAATTGCAGATTTACTTTCAGAATGAGAAGTACCTGTAGTAAATTGATGCCTACATTGACCTGTCCATCTCTGTACTTTCCCCACTTATTTGTACATATTTGAGATTTATTCACCCCATTAAACTTGTATCAAATACTTGTTTTACAAACAAATAAACTGAATATTTTATTTGCTTTTAAAATAAGGTTGTAAAAAGATGGAACACCTCATCTCTTATTGGACCCAAAATAATTTTGATATTAACCATCATTAAATGTTCTGTTTTCTTTTTTTGGGTGGGGGCGGGGTTATTTAAAAATTTTGTCCTTTTTTATCATTTTTAAAATTTCCGTAGGTTTTGGGGGAACAGGTGGTATTTGGTTACATGAGTAAGTTCTTTTTTTTCTTTCCTTTTTTTTGAGACGGAGTTTCGCTCTTTGTTGCCCAGGCTGGAGTGCAGTGGCACGATCTCGGCTCACCGCAACCTCCGCCTCCCGGGTTCAAGTGATTCTCCTGCCTCAGCCTCCCGAATAGCTGGGATTACAGGCATGCGCCACCATGCCTGGCCAGTTTTGTATTTTTAGCGGAGACTGGGTTTCTCCATGTTGGTCAGGCTGGTTTTGAACTACCGACCCCAGGTGATCTGCCCACCTAGGCCTCCCAAAGTGCTGGGATTACGGGCATGAGCCACTGTGCCTGGCTGTGAGTAAGTTCTTTAGTGGTGATTTGTAATATTTTGGTTTACCCATCACCTGAGCAGGATACATTGAACCCATTTTGTAGCTTTTTATTCCTCACCCCCTTCCCACCCTTTTCCCCTGAATCTCCAAAGTCTGTTGTATCATTCTTATGCCTTTGCATCCTTATAGCTTAGCTCCCACTTACGAGTGACAACATATGATGTTTGGTTTTCCATTCCTGAGTTACTTCACTTAGACTAATAGTCTCCAATCCCATCCAGGTTGCTGCAAATGCCATTAATTCGTTCCGTTTTATGGTTGAGTAGTATTCCACAGTGTATATATACTACAGTTTCTTTATTCACTTGTTGATTGATGGCCATCTGGGTGGGTTCCATATTTTTGCAATTGTAAATTTTGCTGCTATAAACATGTATGTGCAAATGTCTTTTTCAGATAATGACTTCTTTTCCTCTGGGTAGATACCTAGGAGTAAGATTGCTGGATCAAATGGTAGTTCTACTTTTAGTTCTTTAAGGAATCTCCACACTGTTTTCCATTAGTTGACATTCCCACCAGCAGTGTAGAAGTGTTCCCTTTTCACTGCATCCACACCAACATCTATTATTTTTTTTGGTTTTTTAATTATGGCCATTCTTGTGGGAGTAAAGTGTTATTGCACTGTGGTTTTGATTTTAATTTCCATCTTGATTTCATTGTTGACTCAATGATCATTTAGGAGCAGGCTATTTAATTTCCATATATTGGCATGGTTTTGAGGGTTCCTTTTGGAGTTGATTTCAAATTTTATTCCACTGTGGCTGAGAGAGTACCTGATATAATTTTGATTTTCTTAAATTTATTAAGACTTGTTTTGTGGCCTATCATGTGTTCTATCTTGCAGAAAGTTCCATGTGCTGATGAATAGAATGTATACTCTGTGGTTGTTAGATAGAATGTTCTGTAAGTATCTGTTAAGTCCATTTGTTCCAGAGTATAGTTTAAGTCCATTGTTTCTTTGTTGACTTTCTGTCTTGATGACCTGTCTAGTGCTGTCAGTGGAGTATTGAAGTTTCACACTATTATCATGTTGCTATCTCATTTCTTAGGTCTAGTAGTAATTGTTTTATAAATTTGGGAGCTCCACTGTTAGGTGCATATATTCTTAGGATTGTGATAGTTTCCTGTTGGACAAGGCCTTTTATCATTATATAATGTCGCTCTGTGTCTTTTTTTTTTTTTTTTTTTGAGATGGAGTCTCAATCTGTCACCCAGGCTGGAGCGCAGTGGTGCGATCTTGGCTCAGCAAAACCTCCGCCTCCCGGGTTCAAGCGATTCTCCTGCCTCAGCCTCCCTAGTAGCTGGGACTATAGGTGCACGCCACCACGCCCAGCTAATTTTTGCATTTTTAGTAGAGACAGGGTTTTGCCATGTTGGCCAGGCTGATCTCAAACTCCTGACCTCAAGTGATCCACCCGCCTTGGCCTCCCAAATTGCTGGGATTACAGGTGTGAGCCACCACGCCTGGCCTGTCTTTTTTAACTGCTTTTGCTTCAAAGTTCTTTTTGTCTGATATAAGGATAGCTACTCCAGCTCGCTTTTGGTGTCCATTTGCATGGAATATCTTTTTCCACCCCTTTATCTTAAGTTTATGTGAGTCCTTATGTGTTGGGTGAGTCTCTTGAAGATGGCAGATACTTGGTTGGTTAATTCTTACCCATTCTGCAATTCTGTAATCTTTTAAGTAGAGCATTTAGGCCATTTACATTCAATATTAGTATTGAGATTTGAGATACTATTTCATTCATTATGCTAGTTGTTACCTGAATACCTTGTTTTTTTTATTGTGTTATTGTTTTATAGGTCCTGTGAGATTTATGCTTTAAGGAGGTCCTCTTCTGGTGTATTTCAAGGTTTTGTTTCAATATCTAGGATTCCTTTTAGTATTTCTTGTAGTGCTGGCTTGGTAGTGGCAAATTCTGTCAGTATTTGTTTGTCTGAAAAAGGCTATCTCTCCTTCATTTATGATGCTTAGTTTTGCTGCATACAAAATTCTTAGCTGATAATTTATTTAAGGAAGTTAACAATAGGACCCCAATCCCTTCTAACTTGTAGGGTTTCTGCTGAGAAATCTGCGTTATTCTGATAGATTTTCCTTTATAGGTTCCCTGGTGTTTTTGCCTCAGAGCTCTTAAGATTCTTTCCTTTGTCTTGACTTTAGAAAACCTGATGATGATGTACCTAGACAATGATCTTTTTGTGGTGAATTTCCCAGGTGTTCTTTGAGCTTTTTGTATTTGAACATCTAGGTCTCCAGCAAGGCTAGGGAAGTTTTCCTCAATTATTCCCCCAAATATGTTTTTCAGACTTTTAGATTTCTCTTCTTCCTCAGGAACACTAATTATTCTTGGGTCTGGTCATTTAACATAATCCCAACCTTCTTGGAGGCTTTGTTCATTTTTTAAAATTATTTTTTCTTTGTCTTTGTTGGATTTGGTTAAATCAAAAGCCTTGTCTTCGAGCTCTGAGGTTCTTTCTTTTGCTTGTTCGATTCTATTGCTAAGACTTTCCAGTACATTTTGCATTTTGCTAAATGTGTCCTTTATTTCTTGAAGTTGTGATTGTTTTTTATTTACGCTATCTATTTCACTGAATATTTCTCCCCTCATATCTTGTATCATTTTTTCATTTCCTTAAATTGGATTTTACCTTTCTCTGGTGCCTCCTTGATTAAGTTAATACTTGACCTTCCGCATTCTTTTTCAGGTAAATCCGGGATTTCTTTTTGGTTTGGATCCATTGCTGGTGAGCTAGTGTGATTTTTGGGGGGTGTTAAAGAAGGTTGTTTTTTTTTTTTTATGTTACCAGAATTGTTTTTCTGGTTTCTTCTCATTTGGGTAGGCTATGTCATAGGGAAGATCTGGGTCTCAATGCTGCTTTTTCAGATTCTTTTGTCCCATGGGGTGTTCTCTTGAGGTAGTACTCTTCCCATTTTCCTAGGGATGTGGCTTCCTGAGAGCCGAACTCTAATGATTGTTATTTCTTTTCTGGCTCTAGCCACCCAGCAGGGCTCCCAGGCTCCAGGTTGGTACTGGGGGTTGTCTGCACAGAGTCCTGTGATGTGAACTGTCTTCAGGTCTCTCAGCCATGGATACCAGCACCTGCTCTGGTGGAGGTGACAGGGGAGTGAAATGGACTCTGTGAGAGTCCTTAGTTTTGGTTGTTTAATGCACTATTTTTATGCTCGTTGGCCTCCTGCCAGGACATGGCAGGCTTTCAAGAGAGCATCAGCTATGGTAGTATAGGAAGGATCAGGTGATCGGTGGAGCTCTAGAACTCTCTATAGAATATGCCCTTTGTCTTCAGCTACCAGGATGGGTAGAGAAAGACCATTAGGTGGGGGCAGGGTTAGGCATGTACGAGCTCAGACTCTCTTTGGGCTGAGCTTGCTGAGGCTGCTGTGGGGGATAGGGGTGTGGTTCCCAAATCAATGGAGTTATGTTCCCAGGAGGATTATGGCTGTCTCTGTTGTGTCATCCAAGTTATCAGGGAAGTGGGGGAAAGCTGGCAGTTACAGGCCTCACCCAGCTCCCACACAACCCAAAAGGTCGGTCTGACTCCCATCATGCTCTCCCCAACAGCACCAAGTTTGTTTCCAGGCAGTGGGTGAGCAGGGCTGAGAACTTGCCCAGGCTACCAGCCTCCCAGCTGAGAAAGCAAGCAGTGCTTTTGTGTCCGGAATTGGTGGGTTCTTGGTCTCACTGACTTCAAGAATGAAGCCACGGACCCTTGCGGTGAGTGTTACAGCTCTTAAGGTGGTGCCTCTGGAGTCTGTCCTTTTTGATGTTTAGATGTGTTCGGAGTTTCTTCTTTCTGGTGGGTTCGTGGTCTCGCTGGCTTAGGAGTGAAGCTGCAGACTTTCGCGGTGAGTGTAACAGCTCTTAAGGCAGCGCGTTTGGAGTTGTTTTTTCCTCCCGGTGGGCTCGTGGTCTCGCTGGGCTCAGGAGTGAAGCTGCAGATTTTCGCAGTGAGTGTTACAGCTCATAAAAGCAGCGTGGACCTAAAGAGTGAGCAGTAGCAAGATTTATTGTAAAGAGCGAAAGAACAAATCTTCCACAGTGTGGAAGGGGACCTGAGCGGGTTGCACTGCTGGCTCGGGCAGCCTGCTTTTATTCTCTCATCTGGCCTCACCTACATCCTGCTGATTGGTAGAGCCGAGTGGCCTGTTTTGACAGGGCGCTGATTGGGGTGTTTACAATCTCTGAGCTAGATACAAAGGTTTTCCATGTCCTTATCAGATTAGTTAGATACAGAGTTTCGACACACAGGTTCTCTAAGGCCCTACTAGAGCAGCTAGACACAGAGTGTCGATTGGTGCATTCACAAACATTGAGCTAAACACAGGGTGCTGATTGGTGTGTTTACAAACCTTGAGCTAGATATAGAGTGCTGATTGGTGTATTTACAATCCTTGAGCTAGACATAAAGGTTTTCCAAGGCCCCACCAGAGCAGCTAGATACAGAGTGTCAATTGGTGTATTTACAATCCTTGAGCTAGACATAAAGGTTCTCCAAGGCCCCACCAGAGCAGCTAGATACAGAGTGTCGATTGGTACACTCACAAACCTTGAGCTAGACACAGGGTGCTGATTGGTGTGTTTACAATCCTTGAGCTAGATATAAAGACTCTCCACGTCCCCACCAGACTCAGGAGCCTAGCTGGCTTCACCTAGTGGATCCTACACCGGGGCTGCAGGTGGAGCTGCCTGCCAGTCTCGCACCGTGCGCTCACACTCCTCAGCCCTTGGGTGGTCGATGGGACTGGGTGCCATGGAGCAGGGGGAAGTGCTCGTCGGGGAGGCTCGGGCCACACAGGAGCCCATGGAGTGGGTGGGAGGCTTAGGCATGGCAGACTGCAGGTCCTGAGCCCTGCCCCGCGGGAAGGCAGCTAAGGCTCGGTGAGAAATTGAGCGCAGCGCTGGTGGGCTGGCACTCCTGGGGGACCCAGTACACCTTCTGCAGCCACTGGCCCGGGTGCTAAGTCCCTCATTGCCCGGGGCTGGCAGGGCTGGCCGGCTGCTCCGAGTGCGGGGCCCGCCAAGCCCACGCCTACCCGGAACTCCAGCTGGCCCACAAGCGCCGCATGCAGCCCCGGTTCCCGCTCCCGCCTCTCCCTCCACACCTCCCTGCAAGCTGAGGGAGTGGGCTCCAGCCTTGGCCAGCCTAGAAAGGGGCTCCCACAGTGCAGTGGTGGGCTGAAGGGCTCCTCAAATGCCGCCAAACTGGGAGCCCGGGCAGAGGAAGTGCCAAGAGCGAGTGAGGGCTGTGAGGACTGCCAGCACACTGTCACCTCTCAATCCCCCCTCTAAACAGGACACCCCAACTGCTGTTGGGAATTTGGCCAATGACCGCTCTAGCTACCTCCTGCTGGGTAGGGGCAAAGAAGGGGCCCTGCAGTTGTAGTGTCCTTCAGAGGAGAACTCTCTAGGCCAGGGGAAGTGCCAGTGGGTCGGTCCAGGGGTCCCCAGTAGAAGTTGTTAGTTGAACTCATTTGGGGTTCCATTTGTAAGACCATCTGTAGCTTGATGGCCTCGATTCTAGAGGAAACAAATTTGACAAGAAGGTTAAACATACAGGGCCTAAAGGTGAGTAACAGCAAGATGGCTGACACGGGACCTAGAAAGGGGAGAAGCCATGTTGCCTAACTCTAGAGATTGGTATAAGAATTTGAAAGGCGTTGTCTGATTTCAGAAGCCTTTTCCTGTAAACCCCAGGCGGCATCTCATACTATCCCTTACTGGTTAGTGTAAAAACAACACTCTTCCCCTAAGAAGGTGTAGCGTCCTCCTTTTTCAGCAGTGAGGAGGTCTAGGCCTCAGTGGTTTTGGAGAGTCACTGCTGCCAAAGAGTCTGTTTGGGATTGTAAAGGAAGAATAGATTTTGTTATTTCTTGCAAACTGTCTGAGAGGCAGATATGGGTTGAAGATCCACATAAGTAGAATATGCCTTGGCTGTGTAGATAGAAATTTACCTTGGCTTTTAAAGGAATAGGGTACACTGTTTTTTCTTTACTACTTTCATCTCTTTCTCTCTTCGACTTCTTTTTTGTCTCTTTCTCTCTTTTTAACTCTCTCTTTGACTTTCTGTGTCTGTCCCTCTTTCTCTCTGACTCCTTCTCCTTGTCTCTGTTTCTTTCTCTCTCTCGTTCTCTGATGTTTTTCTCTCTTTCCTTCTTTCTGGTCTTTCCTTACTTCTGCCAGCCACTTATGCTGCTGCTCTCCCCTCTCCTTCCCATTTTTATGGCTTTGTCAGTGTACGATTCCTACCTCTTTGTGTTTTTGCATTGCGTGACTGTGCAGGCATTTTTTTGCCCTTTCAAATTGTCCTCCTAATGCCCAGACTTCAGTGTTGATTCCTTCCTCAAGTAGGGGACAACAAATGGGTAACTTGTTCCTCATATTCATGTAGATAATAGCTCCAGCCTTGGCTAATATATCCCTCCCTAATAATAGTGTGGGACTTTCAGGCATAACAAAAAAGGCATGTGAAAAGAGCAAAGTCTCCCAATTACAACTGATGAGGTGGGAGAAATACCTGATTACAGGCTGTCCTAGGATTCCTCGGATGGTAACGGATCTTGAGGACAGTTGTCTAGGACAGGAGATTAACACTGAGAAGGCCGCACCAGTGTCCAGGAGGAAGTCAATTTCCTGGCCCTCAATAGTTAAACATACCTGGGGCTCAGTGAGGGTGATGACATGAGCTGGCGCTTGCCCCGGGCACCCTCAGTCCTGTTGTTGGATCATCTGGTTGGGGGCTTCTGACCCAGGGAACCTTCGTCCTCTGGGGCAGTGCACCTTCCAGTGATTGCCTTGGCATAGTGGACATGGATGAGGGGGCAGCTTGTTTCTCATTGGACAATCTTTTTTAAAGTGTCCTAGTAAACCACACTGATAACAAGCCCTACCAGGTGGTTGGCCTGCTCCATTTTCTGACCTCTCTCAACCGTTTGTCTGAGGGCCATGACTAAGGCTGCGGCCTTTCTCTGATCTCGCTTTTCCTTTTGGGCCTGTTCTTCTTGGTCCCTATTATAGAACACTGAGTTTGCCACGTTTAATAATGCCTCTAGATTTTGTTCAGGGCCCAGGGCTTGCTTTTGGAGCTTTCTCCTGATATCTGCGGCTGATTGGGTGATAAACTTATCTTTTAGAATCAATTGACCCTCGAGTGATTCGGGTGATAGGGGAGTATATTTTCTTAAGGCCTCTCGTAGCCGCTCGAGGAAGGCAGAAGGATTTTATTCCTTTCCCTGGGTTATGGTGGATATCATTGAATAATTTATGGGCTTTTTCCTAATTCTCCTTAGTCCTTCTAGAACACAGGTCAACAGATGTTTACAACTCCAGTCCCCATGATCTGAGTAAAGGTCCTAGTGGGGGTCCATACTGGGGATTGCTTGCTGACCAGTAGGGAATTTGTCCCTTTCTTCAGCTGTCATTCTATCATTTACTTGACTGAGATACCAGGTATCTCCAAACTCTCGGGCTGCAGCTAAAGCCGCATTCTTTTAATTAAAGGCCAGGGTTTGATCTAACAGTAGCATGACGTCTCTCCAAGTGAGGTCAAAGGTTTGCCCTAGACCCTGTAGGACATCTATGTACCTATCAGGATCATCTGAAAACTTCCCCAGGTCTGCCTTGATCTACTTTAAATCAGAGAGGGAGAAGGGGACATGTACCTGGGTTGGGCCAAATTCCCCTCCCCCTACAGCTTGAAGGGGACATAACCGATAGCCTGGGGTTTTTTGTGGACCTTTGGAGATTTCTTTGCTTATTTCCTTTTGGGCAGGGGAGATTAGAGGAGGAGTATCATCAACAGGAAGGGGAGCTATAAGGAGGCTAGGATATGGGGGTAAGCTGAGGGGTCCTCCTGTGGGATGTAAATTGCAAGCTTTGCATAGTCGTGTATTCTCCCTCAGTGAAAAGAAAGCTTGGACATAAGGTATTTCACTCCATTTGCCTTCCCTCCTACAGAAAAGATCAAACTGCAGGATAGTATTGAAATTTGTACTTCTCTCAGGTGGCCATTTTTCCCCATCAGAAAGAGAATATTGGTGCCAAGCCGTAGTGCAGAAAAAAGTGAGCCACCTCTTTTTCAGGGTTTGTGGGTCAAATTGGTCCTAATGGCTTAGGATGCATTTCAAGGGTGAGCCTGTTGATGCCTGAGTGTTTCCCATCTGAAAGACAAAACCGCCCATGGTTTTGGTTTATTTTGTTTCTCTCCCTGCCCAAGAACCTGCAATGGTCCCTGGACCCTGCTGATCAGAATAGTTGCGCTCACCGACACAGCAGCAGAAACAACCCCTGCCCAAGAACCCGCAATGGTCCCTGGACCCTGCTGATCGGAATAGTTGCGCTCACTGACGCAGCAGCAGAAACAACCCCTGCCCAAGAACCCGCAATGGTCCCTGGACCCTGCTGATCGGAATAGTTGCACTTACCGACGCAGCAGCAGAAACGCTAGTTTTCCTCCCAGACCACATGGAGGACCGAGGAAGGTCGGATTTAGTGGTCCTTACCGACGCATTCTTGAAAACCTGCACCCTTGCCTGTCCTCCTAGACCACAAGGAGGACCGACCGAGAAAAATCGGATTTAGTGGCCCTTACCGACGCATTCTCAAAAACCTGTTAGAGTCCTAAGCATTCTCCTGTTAGTATTGGGACTTTACCCCTGTCCTATAAAGATGTTATGCCCTAAAAATGAAGTGGAGGGCCATACCCTGAGGGAGGGAAAGGATCTCTAGGGCTGGAGGAGTGACACCTTTTGTCCTCACTTATATAAATAGGAAGGATACAATTTCTGAGGCTCCCCATATCCTAGCTGCAGGAATAGCTTTTGTTAGGCCTGTTAGTCTGAGGAGGGATCCTAAAATTCCAGGTAGTCCCCACTACAACGGGGCTTTGGGCAAAAATTATGTCTTTCCGATTGGTGAGCCCAGGTGCCTAAAGAAGGTAACAGAGTCCTGGAGTTTATACTAGAAGTCATTCTTATAGGAGAAACTAGAAAAGCACTAGAGACAGGTAGCAATTTTTAGAGGTGGGTCTAACCTCAGAGAAGAGAGGTGAGAGGAAGTTTCTCTGGCAGGCATTAGGACCCAGAGGGCAAAGGTCAGGATAGATAGGATAGATGGGCGAGTCTCGCTTGGGCGACATGCTTGTGAGAGTTCCACTCATGGCCGCAGGGTCAACCAACATGTTGTCGGGACCCCGGAGCTGCATGGCTTTCCTCTCTGTTGACCCTCGGCTCAGCCCAGAAGTACAGGAAAAGCGGAAGCTGGTTCTAGGCAAACCAACGGTCCCAACTCCGAAGAGTCGGGGGTTGTTAGCCCTTTCCCAGAAAGCCTGACACCCGTGTCTTTAGTCCGGCGGCTGCGCTAGTCGCTTTTAACTGGCCGACAGGTGCCCAGTTTTTAGCCCCCGAATTCTAAGGAAAGATAGGACAGAATAGCAAGTGAAAGGGGTCCGATGGTACTCACTGCTTGGCGATAGGCGAAAGTCTCACCGCTCAGCGATAGGCGATGGTCTCACCGCTTGGCAATTGTCTCACCGCTTGGCGATAGGCGAAAGTCCCTTCGTGGTCACCAAAATGTGTCCGGAATTGGTGGGTTCTTGGTCTCACTGACTTCAAGAATGAAGCCGCGGACCCTCACGGTGAGTGTTACAGCTCTTAAGATGGTGAGTCTGGAGTCTGTCCTTTTTGATGTTCAGATGTGTTCGGAGTTTCTTCTTTCTGGTGGGTTCGTGGTCTCACTGGCTCAGGAGTGAAGCTGCAGACCTTCATGGTGAGTGTTACAGCTCTTAAGGCAGCGCATTTGGAGTTGTTTGTTCCTCCCGGTGGGCTCGTGGTCTCTCTGGGCTCAGGAGTGAAGCTGCAGATCTTTGCGGTGAGTGTTACAGCTCATAAAAGCAGCGTGGACCTAAAGAGTGAGCAGTAGCAAGATTTATTGTAAAGAGTGAAAGAACAAAGCTTCCACAGTGTGGAAGGGGACCTGAGTGGGTTGCCACTGCTGGCTAGCGCAGCCTGCTTTTATTCTCTTATCTGGCCTCACCTACATCCTGCTGATTGGTAGAGCCAAGTGGCCTGTTTTGACAGGGCGCTGATTGGTGCGTTTACAATCCCTGAGCTAGATAAAAAGGTTCTCCACATCCTTTTCAGATTAGTTAGATACAGAGTTTCGACACACAGGTTCTCTAAGGCCCTACTAGAGCAGCTAGACACCAGAGTGTCGATTGGTGCATTCATAAACCTTGAGCTAAACACAGGGTGCTGATTGGTGTGTTTACAAACCTTGAGCTAGACATAAAGGTTTTCCAAGGCCCCACCAGAGCAGCTAGACACAGAGTGTCGATTGGTGCACTCACAAACCTTGAGCTAAACACAGGGTGCTGATTGGTGTATTTACAATCCCTGAGCTGTACATAAAGACTCTCCACATCCTTACCAGAGCAGCTAGATACAGAGTGTCAATTGGTGCACTCACAAACCTTGAGCTAGACACAGGGTGCTGATTGGTGTGTTTACAATCCTTGAGCTAGATATAAAGACTCTCCACGTCCCCACCAGACTCAGGAGCCTAGCTGGCTTCACCTAGTGGATCCTACACCAGGGCTGCAGGAGCTGCCTGCCAGTCTCGCGCCATGCGCTCGCACTCCTCAGCCCTTCCTTGGGTGGTCGATGGGACTGGGTGCCATGGAGCAGGGGGTGGTGCTCGTCGGGGAGGCTCGGGCCGCACAGGAGCCCATGGAGTGGGTGGGAGGCTTAGGCATGGCAGACTGCAGGTCCTGAGCCCTGCCCCACGGGAAGGCAGCTAAGGCTCGGTGAGAAATTGAGCGCAGCGCTGGTGGGCTGGCACTGCTGGGGGACCCAGTACACCTTCTGCAGCCACTGGCCCGGGTGCTAAGTCCCTCATTGCCCGGGGCTGGCAGGGCTGGCTGGCTGCTCCGAGCGCGGGGCCCGCCAAGCCCACACCTACCCGGAACTCCAGCTGGCCCGCAAGCGCCGCATGCAGCCCCGGTTCCCGCTCCCGCCTCTCCCTCCACACCTCCCTGCAAGCTGAGGGAGTGGGCTCCAGCCTTGGCCAGCCTAGAAAGGGGCTCCCACAGTGCAGTGGTGGGCTGAAGGGCTCCTCAAATGCCGCCAAACTGGGAGCCCAGGCAGAGGAGGTGCCAAGAGTGAGCAAGGGCTGTGAGGACTGCCAGCACGCTGTCACCTCTCACTTTGTTGCCTCCCCACCTGTTGAATCTGCACACCAGAATCATGCCCTTCCCCGAGTTCTGGCCAGGAGACTTTGCATTCAGTTGGAATTCTTACAAAGTTCAGTTGGAGGTTTCCTTCTCCCTGTGGTCTTTTCCCAGTTCCTCTGTCAGCCCTCCCCAAGAACCTCTGTGAGACAAGTCAGAAATGGCTTCCCTGGGGACCCAGATAGCGCACAGGGCTTTTCCCACTGCTTCTTCTACTACCCCTGTGTTTTGCTCAGCTCTCTAAATTGACTCAGCTCCAGGTAAGCTCAAGTCATTCTCCCATGATCTAGACCTTCAGGTTCCCCAGTGAAGGTGTGTATTTGAGGGTAGACGATCCCTCTTTCCCACTCTCACAGCTTGGGCTCTCACAGTATTTGGGCTTTCTCCCAGATCCTGCAGCAGCGATGTACTTCTTTCAGAGGGTCTGTAGATTCTCTCCGCTTTTCTGACATATTCCTGCAGTATTTCTGGAGCAAAAGTTCATGATATGAGTCTCCACACTCTGCTCTGTCCATGTGAGCTGGAGCTGCAAGCTAGTCCTGCTTCCTGTCTTCCATCTTCCCCCTTTTCTCTGTTTTTTTTTTTTTGTTTTTTTTTTTTTTTTTTTTTTTTTGCTTGTTAATTTGTTTACATTTCTTATAGATTCTGGATATTAGACCTTTGTTGGATGCAGTTTGCAAAATTTTTTTACCATACTATACGTTGTCTGCTTACTCTGTTGATAGTTTCTTTTGGTGTGCAGAAGCTCTTTAGTTTACTTCAATCCCATTTGTCAGTTTTTGCTTTTGTCACAATTGCCTTTGACATCTTCATCATGAAGTCTTTGCCCATGCCTATGTCCTGAATGGTATTGCCTAGATTGTCTTCCAGGGTTTTTATAGTTTTGGGTTTTAAATTTATGTCTTCAATCCATCTTTTTTTGTATATGGTTTAAGAAAGGGGTTCAGTTTCAGTCTTCTGCGTATGCTAGCCAGTTATCTTAGCACCATGTATTGAATAGGGAGTCCTTTCCCTATTGCTTGTTTTTGCTGATTTTGTCAAAAATCAGATTGGTGTAGGTGTGCAGCATTATTTCTGGGCTTTCTATTCTGCTTCATTGGTGTACGTGTCTGTTTTATTACCAGTGCCATGTTGTTTTGGTTACCGTACCTTGTAGTATAGTTTGAAATTGGGTAATGTGGTTCTTCCAGCTTTGTTCTTTTTGTTTAGGATTGACTATTAAGGCTCTTTTTTGCTTCCATATTAATTTTAAAATAGTTTTTTTCTAATTCTGTAATGCATGTTATTGGTAGTTTGATAGTAATAGCTTTGAATCTGTAAATTGCTTTGGGTAGTATGGCCATTTTGTCAGTATTGATGCTTCTTATCTGTGAGCGTGGAATGTTTTTCCATTTGTATCCTCTCTTCTTTCCTTGAGCAGTGTTTTGTAATTATTGTTGTACAGGTCTTTCACCTCCTTGGTTAGCTGTATTCTGAGGTATTTTATACTTTTTGTGGCTATTGTGAATAGAATTGCATTCTTGATTTGGCTCTCAGCTTGGATGTTGTTGGTGTATAGGAATGCTACTGATTTTTGTACATTTACTTTGTATCACGAAACTTTGCTGAAGTTGTATATCAGATCAAAGAGCCTTTGGGGAGGGATTATGGGGTTTTCTAGATATAGTAACATATCATCTGCAAACAGGGATAGTTTGAATTCCTCTCTTCCTATTTGAATGCCTTTTATTTTTTTCTCTTGCCTGATTGCTCTGGTTAGGACTTCCAGTACTATGTTGAATAGGAGTGGTGAGAGAGGGCATTCTTGTCTTGTTCTGGTTTTCAAAGAGAATTCTTCCAGCATTTGCTCATTCAGTATGATGCTGCCAGTGGGTTAGTCATAGATGGCTCTTAATATTTTGAAGTATATTCCTTCAATGCCTAGTTTGTTGAGGGTTTGTAACATGAAGGGACTTTGAATTTTATCAAAAAGGCTTTTCTGCATCTATTGAGATGATCATGTTTTGTTTGTTTGTTTGTTTTTAGTTCTGTTTATATGATGAATCCCATTTATGGATTTGCATATGTTGAACCAACCCCACATCCTGGGGATAAAGCGTACTTGATCATGGTGGATTAGCATTTTGATGTGCTGCTGGATTCAGTTTGCTAGTCATTCTTTGAGGATTTTTTCATTTATATTCATCAGGAATATTGGTCTGAAGTTTTCTTTTATTTGGTGTGTTTCTGCCAAGTATTGGTATGAGGATGATACTGGCTTCATAGAATGAGTTAGGGAGGATTCCTTTTTCCTCAATTCTTTGGAATAGTTTTAGTTGAAATGGTACCAGCTCTTCTTTATACATCTGCTAGAATTCAGCTGTGAATTCTACTTGTCTTAGGCTGTTTCTGGTTTATAGGGTTTTTATTATTGACTCAATATCAAGACTCATTATTGGTCAGTTCAGGGTTTTAATTCCTGGTTAAATCTTGGGAGGCTTATGTGTACAGGAATATATCTATTTCTTTTAGATTTTCTACTTCTGTGCATAGAGGTGTTCATAACAGTCTCTCTGTGTTTTTTGTATATTTGTGGGGTCAGATAATGTTCTCTTTTTCATTTCTGATTATGTTTATTTGGATCATCTCTGTTTTATTATTAGTCTGGCTAGCAGTCTATCTACTGCATTGATTCTTTCAAATAACAAGCTCCTGGATTCATTGATATTTTGTATGGCTTTAAACACCTCAATTTCCTTCAGTTTAGGTATGATTTTGGTTATTTCTTGTTTTCTGCTAGCTTTGATATTGGTTTGCTCTTGTTTATCTAGGGCCTCTAGTTGTGATGTTAGGTTGTTAATTTGAGATCTTTCTAAATTTTTGACGTGGGCATTTAGTGCTATAACCTTCCTTCTTTTTTATTTTACTTTATTTTATTTTTTTATTATTATTATACTTTAAGTTCTAGGGTACATGTGCACAACATGCACGTTTGTTACATATGTATACATGTGACATGTTGGCATGCTACACCCATTAACTCATCATTTACATTAGGTATATCTCCTAATGCTATCCATCCCCCCTCCCCGCACCCCACGACAAGCCCTGGTGTGTGATGTTCCCCTTCCTGTGTCCAAGTGTTCTCACTGTTTAATTCCCACCTGTGAGTGAGAACATGTAGTGTTTGGTTTTCTGTCCTTGCGATAGTTTGCTCACAATGATGGTTTCCAGCTTCATCCATGTCCCCACAAAGGACATGAACTCATCCTTTTTTATGGCTGCATAGTATAATATGGTGTATATGTGTCACATTTTCTTAATCCAGTCTATCATTATTGGACATATGGGTTGGTTCCAAGTCTTCGCTATTGTGAATAGTGCCGCAGTAAACATATGTGTGCATGTGCCTTTATAGCAGCATGATTTATAATCCTTTGGGTATATACCCAGTAATGGGATGGCTGGGTCAAATGGTATTTCTAGTTCTAGATCCTTGAGGAATCGCCACACCGACTTCCAAAATGATTGAACTACTTTACAGTCCCACCAACAGTGTAAAAGTGCTCCTATTTCTCCACATCCTCCCCAGCACCTTTTGTTTCCTGAATTTTTAATGATTGCCATTCTAACTGGTGTGACATGGTATCTCATTGTGGTTTTGATTTGCATTTCTCTGATGACCAGTGATGATGAGCATTTTTTCATGTGTCTGTTGGCTGCATAAATGTCTTCTTTTGAGAAATATCTGTTCATATCCTTCGCCCACTTATTGATGGGGTTGTTTGTTTTTTTCTTGCAAATTGGTTTGAGTTCTTTGTAGATTCTGGATATTAGCCCTTTGTCAGATGAGTAGGTTGCGAAAACTTTCTCCCATTTTGTAGGTTGCCTGTTCACTCTGATGGTAGTTTCTTTTGCTGTGCAGAAGCACTTTAGTTTAACTAGATCCCATTTGTCAATTTTGGCTTTTGTTGCCATTGCTTTTGGTGTTTTAGACCTGAAGTCCTTGCCCATGCCTATGTCCTGAATGATAATGCCTAGGTTTTCTTCTAGGGTTTTTATGGTTTTAGGTCGAACGTTTAAGTCTTTAATCCATCTTGAATTGATTTTTGTATAAGGTGTAAGGAAGGGATCCAGTTTCAGCTTTCTACATCTGGCTTGCCAGTTTTCCCAGCACCATTTATTAAATAGGGAATCCTTTCCCCATTGCTTGTTTTCGTCAGGTTTGTCAAAGACCAGATAGTTGTAGATATGCGGCATTATTTCTGAGGGCTCTGTTCTGTTCCATTGATCTATATCTCTGTTTTGGTACCAGTACCATGCTGTTTTGGTTACTGTAGCCTTGTAGTATAGTTTGAAGTCAGGTAGTGTGATGCCTCCAGCTTTGTTCTTTTGGCTTAGGATTGACTTGGCGATGCGGGCTCTTTTTTGGTTCCATATGAACTTTAAAGTAGTTTTTTTCCAATTCTGTGAAGAAAGGCATTGGTAGCTTGATGGGGATGGCATTGAATCTGTAAATTACCTTGGGCAGTATGGCCATTTTCACGATATTGATTCTTCCTACCCATGAGCATGGAATGTTCTTCCATTTGTTTGTGTCCTCTTTTATTTCCTTGAGCAGTGGTTTGTAGTTATCCTTGAAGAGGTCCTTCACATCCCTTGTAAGTTGGATTCCTAGGTATTTTATTCTCTTTGAAGCAATTGTGAATGGAGTTCACTCATGATTTGGCTCTCTGTCTGTTGTTGGTGTGTAAGAATGCTTGTGATTTTTGTACATTGATTTTGTATCCCGAGACTTTGCTGAAGTTGCTTATCAGCTTAAGGAGATTTTGGGCTCACACAATGGGGTTTACTAGATATACAATCATGTCGTCTGCAAACAGGTACAATTTGAGTTCCTCTTTTCCTAATTGAATACCCTTTGTTTCCTTCTCCTGCCTGATTGCCCTGGCCAGAACTTCCAACACTATATTGAATAGGAGTGGTGAGAGAGGGCATCCCTGTCTTGTGCCAGTTTTCAAAGGGAATGCTCCGAGGTTTTGCCCATTCAGTATGATATTGGCTGTGGGTTTGTCATAGATAGCTCTTATTATTTTGAAATACATCCCATCAATACCTAATTTATTGAGAGTTTTTAGCATGAAGCGTTGTTGAATTTTGTCAAAGGCCTTTTCTGCATCTATTGAGATAATCATGTGTTTTTTGTCTTGGGTTCTGTGTATATGCTGGATTACATTTATTGATTTGCGTATATTGAACCAGCCTTGCATCCCAGGGATGAAGCCCACTTGATCATGGTGGATAAGCTGTTTGATGTGCTGCTGGATTTGGTTTGCCAGTATTTTATTGAGGATTTTTGCATCTATGTTCATCAAGGATATTGGTCTAAAATTCTCTTTTTTGGTTGTGTCTCTGTCTGGCTTTGGTATCAGAATGATGCTGGCCTCATAAAATGAGTTAGGGAGGATTCCCTGTTTTTCTATTGATTGGAATAGTTTCAGAAGGAATGGTACCAGTTCCTCCTTGTACCTCTGGTAGAATTCCGCTGTGAATCCATCTGGTCCTGGACTCTTTTTTGTTGGTAAGCTATTAATTATTGCCACAATTTCAGATCCTGTTATTGGTCTATTCAGAGATTCAACTTCTTCCTGGTTTAGTCTTGGGAGGGTGTATGTGTCGATGAATTTATCCATTTCTTCTAGATTTTCTAGTTTATTTGCGTAGCGGTGTTTGTAATATTCTCTGATGGTAGTTTGTATTTCTGTGGGATTGGTGGTGATATCCCCTTTATCATTTTTTACTGTGTCTATTTGATTTTTCTCTCTTTTTTTCTTTATTAGTCTTGGTAGCGGTCTATCAATTTTGTTGATCCTTTCAAAAACCCAGCTCCTGTATTCATTAATTTTTTGAAGGGTTTTTTGTGTCTCTATTTCCTTCAGTTCTGCTCTGATTTTAGTTATTTCTTACCTTCTGCTAGCTTTTGAATGTGTTTGCTCTTGCTTTTCTAGTTCTTTTAATTGTGATGTTAGGGTGTCAATTTTGGATCTTTCCTGCTTTCTCTTGTGGGCATGTAGTGCTATAAATTTCCCTCTACACACTGCTTTGAATGCGTCCCAGAGATTCTGGTATGGTGTGTGTTTGTTCTCGTTGGTTTCAAAGAACATCTTTATTTCTGCCGTCATTTCGTTATGTACCCAGTAGTCATTCAGGAGCAGGTTGTTCAGTTTCCATGTAGTTGAGCAGTTTTGAGTGAGATTCTTAATCCTGACTTCTAGTTTGATTGCACTGTGGTCTGAGAGATAGTTTGTTATAATTTCTGTTCTTTTACATTTGCTGAGGAGAGCTTTACTTCCAATTATGTGGTCAATTTTGGAATAGGTGTGGTGTGGTGCTGAAAAAAATGTATATTCTGTTGAGTTGGGGTGGAGAGTTCTGTAAATGTCTATTAGGTCTGCTTGGTGCAGAGCTTAGTTCAATTCCTGGGTATCCTTGTTGACTTTCTGTCTCATTGATCTGTCTAATGTTGACAGTGGGGTGTTAAAATCTCCCATTATTATTGTGTGGGAGTCTAAGTCACTTTGTAGGCCACTAAGGACTTGCTTTATGAATCTGGCTGCTCCTGTATTGGGTGCATATATATTTAGGATAGTTAGCTCTTCTTGTTGAATTGATCCCTTTACCATTATGTAATGGCCTTCTTTGTCTCTTTCGATCTTTGTTGGTTTAAAGTCTGTTTTATCAGAGACTAGGATTGCAACCCCTGTCTTTTTTTGTTTTCCATTTGCTTGGTAGATCTTCCTCCATCCCTTTATTTTGAGCCTATGTGTGTCTCTGCATGTGAGATGGGTTTCCTGAATACAGCACACTGATGGGTCTTGACTCTTTATCCAATTTGCCAGTCTGTGTCTTTTAATTGGAGCATTTAGTCCATTTACATTTAAGGTTAATATTGTTATGTGTGCATTGGATCCTGTCATTGTGATGTTAGCTGATTATTTTGCTCGTTAGTTGATGCATTTTCTTCCTAGTCTTGATGGTCTTTACATTTTGGCATGATTTTGCAGCAGGTGGTACCGGTTGTTTCTTTCCAAGTTTAGTGCTTCCTTCAGGAGCTCTTTTAGGGCAGGCCTGGTGGTGACAAAATCTCTCAGCATTTGCTTGTCTGTAAAATATTTTATTTCTCCTTCACTTATGAAGCTTAGTTTGGCTGGATATGAAATTCTGGGTTGAAAATTCTTTTCTTTAAGAATGTTGAATATTGGCCCCCACTCTCTTCTGGCTTGTAGAGTTTCTGCCGAGAGATCCGCTGTTAGTCTGATGGGCTTCCCTTTGAGGGTAACCCGACATTTCTCTCTGGCTGCCCTTAACATTTTTTCTTTCATTTCAACTTTGGTGAATCTGACCTTTATGTGTCTTGGAGTTGCTCTTCTCGAGGAGTATCTTTGTGGCATTCTCTGTATTTCCTGAATCTGAAGGTTGGACTGCCTTGCTAGATTGGGGAAGTTCTCCCGAATAATATCCTTCAGAGTGTTTTCCAACTTGATTCCATTCTCCCCGTCGCTTTCAGGTACACCAATCAGATGTAGATTTGGTCTTTTCACATAGTCCCATATTTCTTGGAGGCTTTGTTCATTTCTTTTTATTCTTTTTTCTCTAAACTTCCCTTCTTGCTTCATTTCATTCATTTCATCTTCCATTGCTGATACCCTTTCTTCCAGTTGACCGCATCAGCTCCTGAGGCTTCTGCATTCTTCACGTAGTTGTCCAGCCTTGGTTTTCAGCTCCATCAGCTCCTTTAAGCACTTCTCTGTATTGGTTATTCTAGTTATACATTCTTCTAAATTTTTTTCAAAGTTTTCAACTTCTTTGCCTTTGGCTTGAATGTCCTCCCCTGGCTCGGAGTAATTTGATCGTCTGAAGCCTTCTTCTCTCAGCTCGTCCAAGTCATTCTCCGTCCAGCTTTGTTCCATTGCTGGTGAGGAACTGCATTCCTTTGGAGGAGGAGAGGTGCTCTGCTTTTTAGAGTTTCCAGTTTTTCTGCTCTGTTTTTTCCCCATCTTTGTGGTTTTTATCTACTTCTGGTCTTTGATGATGGTGATGTACAGAAGGTTTTTGGTGTGGATGTCCTTTCCGTTTGTCAATTTTCCTTTCAACAGACAGGACCCTCAGCTGCAGCTCTTTTGGAGTACCTGGGCGTGTGAGGTGTCAGTCTGCCCCTGCTAGGGGGTGCCTCCCAGTTAGACTGCTCGGTGGTCAGGGGTCAGGGACCCACCTGAGGAGGCAGTCTGCCCGTTCTCAGATCTCCAGCTGTGTGCTGGGAGAACCACTGCTCTCTTCAAAGCTGTCAGACAGGGACATTTAAGTCTGTAGAGGTTACTGCTGTCTTTGTGTTTGTGTGTGCCCTGCCCCCAGAGGTGGAGCCTACAGAGGCAGGCAGGCCTCCTTGAGCTGTGGTGGGCTCCACCCAGTTTGAGCTTCCAGGCTGCTTTGTTTACCTAAGCAAGCCTGGGCAATGGCGGGCGCCCCTCCCCGAGCCTCGCTGCCACCTTGAAGTTTGATCTCAGACTGCTGTGCTAGCAATCAGCGAGACTTCGTGGGCGTAGGACCCTCCGAACCATGTGTGGGACACAATCTCCTGGTGCCCCGTTTTTTAAGCCCGTCGGAAAAGCGCAGTATTCAGGTGGGAGTGACCCGATCTTCCAGGTGCCGTCTGTCACCCCTTTCTTTGACTAGGAAAGGGAACTCCCTGACCCCCTTCGCTTCCCGAGTGAGGCAATGCCTCACCCTGCTTCGGCTCGCACGCGCACCCACTGACCTGCGCCTACTGTCTGGCACTCCCTAGTGAGATGAACCCGGTACTTCAGATGGAAATGCAGAAATCACCCATCTTCTGCATCGCGCACGCTGGGAGCTGTAGACCTGTGCTGTTCCTATTCGGCCATCTTGGCTCCTCCCCCCGCTTCTCTAGTTCTTTTATTTGTGATGTTAGGTTGTCAATTTTAGATCTTTCCTGCTTTCTCTTGTGGGCATTTAGTGCTATAAATTTCCCTCTACACATTGCTTTAAATGTGTTCCAGAGATTCTGGTATGTTGTGTCTTTTTTCTCATTGGTTTCAAAGAACATCTTTATTTGTGCCTTTGTTTTGTTATGTACCCAGTAGTCATTCAGGAGCAGGTTGTTCAGTTTCCATGTAGTTGAGCGGTTTTGAGTGAGTTTCTTAATCCTGAGTTCCAGTTTGATTGCACTGTAGTCTGAGAGACAGTTTGTTATAATTTCTATTCTTTTACATTTGCTGAGGAGTGCTTTACTTCCAACTATGTGGTCAATTTTGGAATAATCACGTTGTGGTGCTGAGAAGAATGTATATTCTGTTGATTTGGGGTGGAGAGTTCTGTAGATGTTTCTTAAGTCTGCTTGGTGCAGAGCTGAGTTCAATTCCTGGAGATCCTTGTTAACTTTCTGTCCCGTTGAACTGTCTAATGTTGACAGTGGGGTGTTAAACTCTCCCGTTATTATTGTGTGGGAATCTAAGTCTCTTTACATGTCTCTAAGGACTTGCTTTATGAATCTGGGTGCTCCTGTATTGGGTGCATATATGTTTAGGATATTTAGCTCTTCTTGTTGAACTGATCCCTTTACCATTATGTAATGGCCTTCTTCATCTCTTTTGATCTTTGTTGGCTTAAAGTCTGTTTTATCAGAGACTAGTATTGCGACCCTTGCCTTT